>NC_000003.12:194762570-194913570 GCF_000001405.40 Homo sapiens | reverse complement strand
TGGGCATAAGACCCAGTCCTGACCATTCAGTCCTCAGCGTAAGGAGCCTGGATATAATCACATGTCTTCCTGTGCAATATAGACTTGCTATCACTTCATTCAAGTTTAGACTTTGAACTAATTCTAATTACTGTGGCTTGAAAAGTCCAGCTAAGAGCCACGGCCCATCCCAGAAGCAGCATGGGATTTTTCTAAGGTTTTAATAGGACAGCCCAGCAATCTGGGTGCTCTGTCCTCTGAACACATCCAGCGAGCACAAATCCAATTCTGAATCCTTCAGTGGATCCTGTCTTAAGGGACACATATCTCCCCTGACCACCTTGCATGCCTCTTATTAAATAAGCTGAGTTCTGTGGCTATCTTGCTTCAGACACAATTGCAGTAGGTTCCACTAACCTAGATTCCCAATCATAATTATAGAACCCCCCACTGCCTTCAATCACTTTGCTGTTTTGGTTTGTTGTTGTTGTTGTTTTTGAGACGGAGTCTCGCTCCGTCGCCAGGCTGGAGTGCAGGGACATGATCTTGGCTCACTGCAACCTCTGCCTCCTAGGTTCAAGTGATTCTCCTGCCTTAGCCTCCTCAAGTAGCTGGGACTACAGGCACCCGCCACCACACCTGGCTAATTTTTTCGTATTTTTAGTAGAGACGGGGGTTTCACCATGTTGGCCAGGCTGGTCTTGATCTCCTGACCTCGTGATCCACCCACCTCGGCCCCCCAAAGTGCTGGGATTACAGGCATGAGCCACTGCACCCGGGTGGTATTTTTTCTTTACTTTTTCATATCTGACCCTGTAACAATCCTGTAATAATGGGGACAACTAAATGGGGAGCAGTGGGAAGAGCTGTTCAGGGACACTGTGTGTGGACTTTTGTCTTGATTAGCAGTGATCACTGTGACCCACTGAGTGGTGCCGAGAAAGAGAACTGGGCAGCCTGAGGTGAGCACAGCCACAGACTGTCCAGACTCTGTGTCATATGGGAAAAACATGGACTCTCTCTGATTCCCTCTGCTCCCCTGACCCAGGAGATGGGGAGGGCGATAGTGAGGGTCTTTAGGGCTAAGGGATTGGTTAGGAATAAGACCAAAGACCAGGGAGAACTTTCTCTGAAATAATGAGAATTCAAGTCAAAGTAGAGGTCCCTTGGCACAGCTGACAACGCTCTCAAATTCGAAAAGAGATAGCAGAGCCTCCTTTTGTTTATAGTCAAAATGATGTGTCTGAGACTTGTCAACCTTTTAAAGTGATGCTAAATAACCAATTAATATGGAAATATATGCTTCTACCCTCCCGTGCAATCTGTACCAGGTTTACTGGCAGCTCCTGGGAGGGTCTGGTGGGCCAACATGAGGAGCCCTGCAGTCTTGATCGGACCCTAGGGGAGCAGGTGGGCTTCCCGGGGACTAAGGAGAAGGCACCTTTCCAGCTTCCAGCAGCGGAGGAGGACTGCTCCTTGGAATTTCAAATTCAGGCACAGATGGAGAAGAGAAGCACAAGTATAAAGTTCTCACTCAGAAATTACATCCAAGCGAAAACAAGGCAGCTGGGCAGCTGTTCTGGGAGCCACAGTCCTAGTGGTTGCCATTCAGAGAGAGAAAAAAGGAAGGAATCTACAGAAATAATCACCAGGTGTCATGTGTTCAGCAGCTCTTAGGTCTCAAACTCTTGTTGCCTCTAGGACCTCATCTGACCCTCACATCTGGGACCTCATCTGACCCTTATATCTGGACACAGCATTGGTTTGGAAGATGGCAGATGTTGTTCTACCAAAAGCAGACTGTGGCCTGGGTCGGGCTCATATCTATAGGGTCTAGATCACAATGCCTGCTTCACAAGCTTGTTACAGATGAGCAAACACTTGTCCAGCCATGACATAGGAGGAAGACCAAGACACAATTCCTGTCCTCCAGGAATTCCAGGCTCTGGGCTAAGGTGCTTCCCTATTCTAAGCCATTGGCACCTTTCCTCTGCCAGAGACTCTCTCCACATTCTCCTTTAGGTATCAGCTTAAGTGTCACTACCACCGGGAAGCCTTCCCTACCACTACTCCTCGCCAATCCCCCCACCAACCAGCTGGATTAGATCCCCTGCTCAATGCTCCTGCTGCATCTCCTGTTTCTCCATCATCATAACCAGTACACCTATAATTCAATGTTGGCTTGTATTCCCCCCTTGACTGTCAGCATCAGGAAGTCGAGGACAGTCTCAAGTACTGCTGGAGACACTGAACACAGTGCCTGGCACAGAAGAGGTACTTAAGGAAGATCCACAGAACCAAATGAATTAGTTTGGGGGGAGATGATACTATGGTTTGAATGTGTCCCCTTAAAAATTCAGATGTTGAAACTTAATGGCCAGTGTGATGGTATTAAGAAGTGAGGTCTGTAAGAGCAATTAGGTATGAGGGCTCCTGCCCTCATGAATTGGATTAAGGCCCTTATAAAGAGGCTTCACAGCATTTGGCTCTCTTGTCCTTCTGCCTCCTGCCATGTGAGGACACAGCATTCCCCGCTCCATAGGATGCAGCAACAAGACGCCATCCTGGAAGCAGAGAGCAACTGTCACAGACAACTGAACCTGCCAGTACCTTGCTCTTGGACGTCTCAGCCTCCAGACTGTGAGAAATAAATTCCTGTTCTTTATAAATCACTCAGTCTCGGATATTTTGCTATAGCAACACACAATGGACAGATGGGTGAAATAGTTGGAACACAGAGGATTTTTAGGGAAGTGAAAGCACCGTATGGTGTTTACATATCATCATACACTTGTCCAAGCCCATAGAATGTACAACACCAAAAGGGAGCCCTAATGTAAACTATGAGCTTTGGGTGATGACGTGGCAATGTAGGTTCACCGACTGTAACAACTATACCATTCGGTGGAGGATGTTGACAATGGGGGAGCGATATAAGTGTGGGGGCAGCAGATATATGGGAAATCTCTGTGCCTCCTGCTGTTTTGCTGTTGATATGGTTTATCTGTGTCCCCACCCAAATCTCAGGTTGAATTGTAATCCCCAGTGTTGGAGATGGGGCCTGGTGAGAGGTGATTGGATCATTGGGGTGGTTTCTCATGAATGGTTTAGCACCCTGTCCCTGGTACTATTCTCATGATACAGTTCTCATGAGACCTGGTTGTTTAAAAGTGTGCAGCACCTCCCAGCCTCTCTCTCTTGCTCCGGCTCCAGCCGTATAAAACGTTCAAGACAGTTCTGCTTCCCCTTCGCCTTTCTCCACAATCTAAAATTTCCCAGAGCCTCCCCGGAAGCCAGGCAAAAGCCTCTATGCTTCCGGTACAGCCTGTCGAACCATGAGCCAGTTAGACCTCTTTTCTTTATAAAGCACCCAGTCTCAGGGATTTCTTTATAGCAATGCGAGCACAGACTGATACAGCTATGAACCTAAATTTTCTTCAAATAAAGTCTTTAATTAAAAAAAAAAGCAGCTAGGCATGGAGATGTGGGCCTGTAACCCCACTACTCAAGAGGCTGAGGTGGGAGGATTCCCTGAGTCCAAGGGTTCGAGGCTGCAGTGAGCTGGGTCATACCACCTCACTCCAGCCTGGGTGACAGAGCAAGACTCCATCTCATATTTTTTTTTAAAAAAAAGAAAATAAATAAATGAAGTAAAGTGGCATTATCTGTATCTTTACAGATGAGAAACCAGATGTCCAAAGAAGCGATGAGGGTTAGCAAGGCCACAGCAGGTTGACTGGCAAGGCTGGGACTAGTGCACCGCATTCCGAACCCAGCCAACGCTCTCTTAAAAGAGGGAACTACTGCTGTGTGTCTATGACCGTAGAACAGGAGGAGAAACAGGAGAAATGGAAGGAGGGTGCTTAATGGATCCAAATCCCCTAATGTTCTCCATTCTCCTCCCCGCCACCATCTTGTCAGAGTGTCCTCCCTAACACCGTGAAGACTGTTTCTTAGCAAAACTCAGAAGTGCTGCAAGGTTGACACCAGGCCATGGCACAACCCCCAGGCCCTACCCAAAGAGCTGTCCTGGCATCTGTGAGGCCCGGGTGTTTGTCAATGAGCTGCAGGATCCACAGACAGTTCAAGGTCTTTGGAGAAGGTATGAAACTCAATGCATATTCACGGCACACTTGGTGACGACTCCTGGTTTTATGTACAGTGAAAACATATTACAGAATTATCCTACGGTAGATTTATTGGAGGTGGGAAGTAACTGAGTTTTATGAAAAATAATTATTGCCATCAAGTTGATATAATTACTTGCACTGGTTTGTCAGGGCTGCTATCCAATTTTATTTCTAGGCAATTTTTCTGATATGGTTTAAGCTACACCCAGAGAGGATAATCAGTCTGTTTTAATTTATTTCCGGGATGTCTCTCTGCCGCCTCTGCTGGGCCTGGAGGGGGCCGTGCTGTGTAGCCAGCTCTGGATGTTGTCAGCGGCCTGGAAGGCAGGGCTGGCCTGCGAACCCTTGCACTTCTGCTTGGAGAAGGGAGTAGATATGGATGATTATTGTCAGATTCCTGCCATGGTTGTTCTTCTCTTGAATACATTACTGTTCTTTGAGATGCAGGGTCTAAGGGAGAAATTGATTATAAAGATTTTGCAAGGAAACATAAGGGTAACAATAGAAAGAAAATAAGTCCTAGCATTACATAGACCTATGTTCTACTCCTGGTTCCACCCCTTATTATCTGAGTGACTTTAACTTACTGGGCCTTAGTTTCTGTTTCTGTAAAGACGGGCCCATCTAACTTGGAGAGCCACTGAGAGAAGTATAGAGTGTAACATACGCCCGCCAGCTCAGAGTCCGGCACCAGCTGGCATACAATCAAATGTTATTAGGAGGTGGAGCATGGGGTTGGGATAGGTTAACCTCCATAAGTGCCAGAGCTGGAGGGAGCTCTGGGGAGCAGGATGCCTGGTGTCTTACAGCCCCCAAAAGGGAGCAGCTGGGGGAGTCCTGAGCTCACAGTTGCCACATTCTGTCACATGGCCAATCCCTTCTGGACACAGCTGAGAGAGTTGTGGTGGGCACCTGACCCGAAGGCAGCTGAGCTGTAGGCTGGGCAACTGTTCTATGAGATGGCTTAGCCGAAAAGGTTAAGCCCAAACCAGAAAGATGGATGTTTCCAAGCCAATCAGATTATCTCTCTCTCTCTGAATGGTCCATGAGAGACAGAAGCAAGCAGGCATCCAAGGAGAAGTGCACGCACATGCACACACACACACACACACACACACACACACACAGAAGGAACCTAGCTCCATCTATAGTAACATGAGTACTAGAGCTAAGGACAGCAAGCCCCTGCAGCTGCCACAGGTGTACACTGAACCCACAAAGGGCACCTTGGACTCTGAATGTCCTTCCAGGTGCAGAACTATATGTAAGTCTCTGTTTCTTGAGGCAGAAAGCTAACAGAGCACAAACATGCCTAGAGAAATGCCCCACTAACCAGAAGATCACGCTGGACCTCAGAGAAGCCCAGGGTCACTCACTAAACTAGTGATATAGCTGAGGCTGGAAACCAGGCCACCTGACTCTTAGTTTTTGAGAAGAGCCAAATTTGGGTTCCTCCTAGAGCTGGTAGTCATGGTTTTGTAGGGAAGGGGTGAAATGCAGGGTGAGTCAAGGAGTTTCAAACACAATCATTCTTGACACGAGATCCAGTTGCTCCAAGATACCACTTTTTTTTTTTTTTGAGACAGAGTCTCGTTCTGTTACCCAGGCTGGAGTGCAATGGCGCGATCTCAGCTCACTGCAACCTCCACTTCCCAGGTTCAAGCGACTCTCCTGCCTCAGCCTCCCAAGTAGCTGGAACTACAGGCATGAACCACCATGCCCAGATAATTTTTGTATTTTTAGTAGAGACGGGGTTTCACCATGTTGGCCAGGCTGGCCTCGAACTCCTGACCCTCATGATCCACCTGCCTCAGCCTCCCAAAGTGCTGGGATTATAGGCGTGAGCCACTGCACCCGGCCCAATATGCCACTTTTGCTAGAGTGTGTCTTCCTCTCCTCACCTACTGTTTGCAGTGGATTTTTTCCTGGCAGACCATCCTGGGTCACACTGACTTCACCCTTTCATGATAGCTCACACCATGGGCTGTGTGGACATTGGATAGCAGTTTGTTAGTGACACCCACACACTGTTCCAGATGCGGTTTATGAGAGCGTGTGTGTGGCTGTGCTTGTGTGTGGATGTGGGTACCCCGGGCCTACTCAGAAAATCCATAAGGTTCTGTGGCACTGGGAGCCTGTCGCGTGCTTCCTTTCTCTACTGTAGTGAGTGCTTAGACTTCAGCTAAGAACTCTGGTACCCACAAGACCTCCCAGGCATTCCACGGCAACTCTCATCCTCCCTCGGGGTAATTTCAAACCTTTGTAAGTCTCTTAGGAGCCCTGTCTGCCAGCCACTTCCTGCCTTCCTCTCAATGAATGACCCTAATTTTGTATCATTAGAAGACAGAGGCCTTTCATGGAAACAACTACACTTTCTACCCACAGCCATAGGTTTAGTCACCTTATTAGTATCTAGACAAAGAGTATCTAGCTCTTTCCTTCTCTTCTATTTCCATGCGAGAAATACCGCAGTGCTGTGGATCCTGTCCCTTCCTTTATTCTTTCCTTCAATGAACAGTCTTAAAGGCCTAAGATGCCAGGAGCTATTTCCAAATTCTTGACAGACATTGATCTTTGGGATTTTGGCATAAAAAAATAGGAATTTCTGGGAATTCTCCAGAATTACCAAAATTATAAGTTATTTAAAAAAGATTCTCCAACATTCTTCATGCTCTTTCTTCATTACTATGGATATCTAAAAATTTTTATTTAACAAATAAGAAGAAATATTAAGTTTGGTAGCCTTTGTAAAATATTTGTATTTGGTAATATTTATAAAGCATTTACACTTTGGTAGTAGGTGTAAAAAACTAAAGCTTCCTGGAAATATTCAAATGCTGGAAATCACCAGTGAACCTCACTGGGTAGTATTGACTAATGTAACATCTGATTTCCTCGCAAGGTTAACAGGGCCTCTCAGAATCATCTGTGGGAATTGCCAATTCAAAGACTTTCTTTGTTTCCAAAACTTGTTCTTTCTCTGAATACCATTCATAGAATTTGCATAATGTTTACTATAATATAAACACAGTAATAGTTATTGTATTTGGAGGAGTGACTCACTGTTTGCAGCAGAAAATCCAGGAACACACGTTGATGACAAGACGGTAGCTACAGGCAAGACTGGCCAGTGAGATTGTGGCCACTTCTCTTCTGTGTGCTCCTGTCCCTGTTCCAGGAAATTTTGACCTTAGCCTTGAACTTCGTGTGTCAATGTTTCTTGCTCTTGCTTTTGACATGACATCAGCAGATGCCTTTGACCAGGAATATTTCTATGTTAATTGTTGATCTTTGATTCTCAAAAAAGAATTATAATACTTTTTTTCTATTTTCTCAATTCCTTGATTGATTTTTCTTACTATTTGGGAAACATACATTTCCTGAGAAATGCAGAGAAGGAATTCCTGCATGGAAGCACCAATAGTGGGCGAGTAATGGATGCCACAGTTCTGACTAAAGGCATAGATTTGGGGATTCTGAGTTGGAAGTCTGGTTGTACTTACTGGATGTGTGACCCTGGGCAAATTACCTAACATCTTTGAGCCTCAATTTTCCTATCAGTAAACTTACCTCATTGTTGTTTTGTGGTTAAATGTGTGTGGTTTTGAGGTTGAGTTGTTTTGAGGTTAAATATGTTTGTGAAGCTCTTAGCACAATCTCTGGCATGGTACAAGTGGTAATATATATTGTAGCTATTCAGACACAAGCCCCAGTGAAGGATGCATACTCTAGTGCTATCCAATAGAACGGGAATATGAGATGCAGATGTGAGTTTAAGTTTTCTGATGGCCACATTAAGAAAACAAAAATAAACAGAAGAAATTAATTTTAACAACACACTTAATTCAATAGATCCAAAATATTATTATTCCAGTATGTACTCAATATAAAAAATTAATGATGAGATATTTTGCTTTTTTTGAAACAAAGTCATGAATATCCACTGTGTATTTTATGTTTAGAGCACATCTTAATTTAGGCACTAAATTTTCCCTGGAAATATTTGATCTGTATTTAGATTTCATAAAGTTTACAGAGACTCACATATTCAAGTTGTTTCAAATATACTTACAAGATCCCAAAATCCCATTACTGGGTATATACCTAAGAGAGTGTAAATTGTTCTATTATAAAGACATATGCACACATATATTCATTGCAGCACTATTCACAATAGCAGACATGGAATCAACCTAAATGCTCATCAATTGTAGACTGGATAAAGAAAATGTGGTACATATACACCATGGAGTACTATGCAGCCATGAAGAAGAACAAGATCATGTTCTTTGCAGGAACATGGATGGAGTAGGAGGCCATTATCCTTAGAAAAATAATGCAGGAACAGAAAACCAAATACCACGTGTTCTTTCTTATAAGCGAGAGCTAAATGATGAGAACACATAGACACATAGAGGGGAACAACACACACTGGGGTCTATTGGAGGGTGGACGGTGGGAGGAGGGAAAGGATCAGGAAAAATAACAGTGAGTATTAGGCTTAATACATGGGTGAAAAAATAATCTGTACAACAAACCCCCAGACGCAAATTTACCTGTATAACAAACCTGCACATGTAACTCTCAACTTAAAATAAGAGTTAATAAAGAAAAAAGAAAACAAATTTATCAGTAATGGAATCAAATATCAAAAATTCACTTTTCTTTAATATTCATATTTACATCAAAAAACTGGTTCATCTTTTTTTGAAGAATTAATGTAACTTTGAAGCAAAAACATATTAGTTTCAAAATTACTTCTGTCTGAGTTAAATGACTCTAACTCCTGGAACAACTTAGTATTATTAGCACAGAATTCAAAGAAATATTGCATATATTGAAAAGTAACTAATTTACCTACAAAGCATGCCAACAGCCCATACTTCAAATTTTCGTGTAGTTTTTGCAGTCAACTTAAATTATGCTATTGCTTTCAATTAAAATCTTCATGTTAGAAATATACACAATCATTATTATTGATATTTATTGTAAAAATTATCATCAATTTTAGCATAAATTTTTATACCTGACTAACTAGGTAACAAATAAGCTTTTCTTTTCCTTTCAAATTTAACTCATTCATATGCAGTGTGATAATGCTATATTTTGTCTTTGATGATTTAGTGTTTAGCAAGCATTGCTTTTTGTTAAAGAAAATTTTTGAATTGGAATTAGCACAGCAAATCCTTCTAAAATTCTTCCACCATTCAACCTATAGACATTGGTAAAGAACACAAGATCATTCAATTTACTGTCTTTTAATTTTTAGTCCTTTCCATAAACTGGCAATAATTCACACATTTGCACATGTGTACTGAATGGTTAGAACACCTCTATGTATGACTCTCCCCATAGACGCTTCTTTAGAAGGCTACAGAAAAATATTTTCATAAATGAAAACATTGGCCTCTTGTTTTAGAATTCCAGTGAATCTGGATTTTTAATCTAACATAGCTGGAGCACTGTCTATCATGCTAGAAACTAAATTTTCATGCTTAGCTGAAATTCTTATTTGACAGATACAAAAGATACCTACACCATGAATTTGGTTTTGTAGGGCGTAAATTGACATTTCTTTGTAAATTTGAGAGTCTTTTCAGACAACTTGTACACAAAAAATTAATTGAGCAGTGTATTAGTCTGTTTTCATGCTGTTGATAAAAATGTGCCCAAGACTGGGTAATTTATACAGGAAAAAGGGTTTAATGGACTTGCAGTTCCATGTGACTGAGGAGGCCTCACAATCATGGTGGAAGGCAAGGAGGAGCAAGTCACGTCTTACATGGATGGCAGCAGGCAAAGAAAGAGAGCTTGTGCAGGGACACTCCTGTTTTTAAAACCATCAGATCTCATGAGACCCATTCACTATCATCAGAACATCATGGGAAAGACCCACCCCCGTGATTTAATCATCCACCCAGTCCCTCCCATAACATGTGGGAATTGTGGGAGCTACAAGATGAGATTTGAGTGGGGACACAGAGCCAAACCATATCAGGCAGTATCTTCTATAGTGTACGATTTTACAAAGCTAAAGAAAAGTACTTGGAATTTAACAAATGTTGAATCAGTTGGTTTTTGATATTATTAAAACATCTTGTATTCTATAAGCAATTGTTTGGTGGCTTAATTGAAAATGTCTCATAATTAGTAGAATATCTTTTATGTATTCATAATTTTCTAATAAAATTTCCATAACTTAAGAGTTTCTATTTGTTTTAATGATCACTTTGTCTAAAATTGTTGTATGTATGTTTGCAAGAATCTAAACCATTTTATAATTGACCAAAGTTGCTAGCTCAGATAGTGTTAAAAATAGTTTAGATTTTTTTCTGGGATATTTAACTCTGATTTCAGGTGATTAACTTCATTGATTTTTTTGATTGCTGAGAGAAAACTTATCAAATTCATTATTTATTTGCTGAGAATGTCTTTAAACATGTCTACTATATTATCTTTAAAAATGTTTTACACAAAAACAGCCGTCTTGTTTTGTGCTGCAACAGCACATTGCAATAGCAATTCTCTGTCTCTATATCCATCTCTTATTTCTGCTTCTTTTTTATGTTGATTTTCTGATTTTAGACTAAATTACTCCACTTATTAGGAAGCATGGCTGCTGGCAACTCAATTTTAGGGGGAGATTTAAAAAAAGAATTCTTCTCTACCAACTTCAGTTAGAAAAATTATAAGGAAGAACCCTGATTGGCTTGCTTGGACCACACACCCATCTTTGTACTAATCACAGGGTGAGGGAGACTGGATGCTTTGATTCTTCTAATTTGTATCATATGCCTATTCTTGAGGCCAGGTGGGTGGAGTCTTCCACTAGAAGAAGGAATGGAAGCCCTGAGGAGTGGTCCCTAATCTACCCTGGAAGGTGGAAGGAGAGTCAGGAGTGGATTCCTGGAGAATGTGATCCCTTAGTTGAGTCTTAAACAATGATTTCAAGAAAACAGTCCAAATATGAAAAATGGGAAAGGATTAGGAGAAAAGCACTCCAGGGAGAGGGGAAACAAGAGGAAAAGCTCAGGGGCAAGAGATAGCATGGGGCAACACCTTGAAGTCTAGAGTATAAGCACCTGCTCTATAAGACACAGTCCCTGCGCCCAAAAATGCTTACAGTCTAACACCTTGAAGTCTAGTGTATAAGCACCTACACTAGACTTCAAGGTGTTAGACTGTAAGCATTTTTGAGGACAGGGACTGTGTCTTATCCATCCTTGTCTTCGTCCATCTGCTTGGCCTATACAAGGTGCTCCCCATTTTCTGTTGAATGAATGAGTGGATGATAAATAGCAACATTCCATAAGTTCACCAGCCCCAGGCAGGGATCTGAAGTGATTCTTCCATGTCCTCTAAGAGCACAAAATGGGGCTCAGTTGAATACCAGAAAATAACTTGTTTTAATTTTTCTGGAGAAATAAAAATAATTACAAAATCTCCAGAAGGGGGCTTGGCTACCAAAGCTCTTGTCTGCTGTCATAAAGCCTTGCTATTCAACTGCACTGTAGGGGATTAGGTCAGGCAATCACTATAAGAATAAATCATATGAGCTCCAACTTGGATGGACAGAACAGCATGGGAGACTCACATTGTGAAAATTTTCTCCAAGAACCACCACAGGAACATACCAGGAAAACTGAAAGAATTCACAGACCCTTTGAAAGAAGTGGCTTGCTGCTGTAAACTAGACAAGACAGGTGAAAACCTGTGAGCTCCCAAAGTGTGCCTGGGGAAAGGTCTGCCTCTGGACACACATCCCCACTGGAGAACCTGAAAATCCAGATCACAGGAGAAGGATTTAACCTTACCTAGAGCTGAAACAGATCTAGGGAGTCAAACAAAATATAAAAGTAGAAGAAGCAGCAGGAAGAGCCCTGTAGGCACTGCCAGTCAGTCCCCAGCTGCAGCCCAAGGAAGCCATTACTGGCTTTATCACACTGGGGTCCTCGGAGAAGGTAGCCAGTGGAATTGGAGATAGGCCATGGGGTAAAGAATGCTTCTAACTGAACTTTGAAATAATTTCGAGTGAGCACAAATTTTCCTGAGCAGAATCTGGGGTGGAGTGTGAATGGGAAGTGCAGATGACAGCACAGAAGCCACAGCTGACAGTGTGGGCAGGCAGGGTGGGACAAGTTCTGACAGTCCTGCTTCCTTACTCAGCAAGGAGGCTTATAGCCTGGGACAAGATCTCAGCCCTGCTCTCCAGCTGCTTGGATATAAACCTGGTGTTGTTGGTGGGGCATGGCAGGAGTGAGGCTGGACTTGCTGGCTGCATGGGAACTGGGTAAGGCCTGTCACTGCCAGCTTTCCCTTGCTTCACTGGTGACCTGTATGATGCAGCAGAGGCAGCCATAATCCCCCTGGGAACATAACTCCATTGGCCTGAGAACCACTCCCAATCCCCCGGCTGCAGCAAGCCCTGCTCAAGGAGAGTCTGAGCTCAGACTTATCTAACCCTGCCCCCATCTGATGATTTTTCTCTACTTGCCCTGGTAACTGAAGACAAAAGACGTAAACTCTTGGGAGCTCTATGGCCCCTCCCACTGCCTAAGAGATCCAAGTACTTATCCTGGCCAATGTGGGGCTAGCCTAAATCCCCCTTCTACTACAGCACCCGATGATCTCTTGAAAGTGCCATCTCCTGGCTGGAGGCCAGCCAACTCAAGACATTACAGCAACTCATAACAGAACCACCCTCCTCCAAAAATGGAGATAACAATAGCTAATTCCACTGCCTGCAACACCCTAGCCAACCAGAGGTCCTGAGTCTGTCAATGTGACAACTTCACTGCAAGCATAACCACATTCAAGAAAACCAGTGCACTAAAAAAACTACAACCAAGTACTCCCAGAGTCCACCTCACTCCTCTGCCACCTCCACCAGAGTAGATGCTGGTATGCACAGCTGGGAGACCTGAAGATGGATCACATCACAGGACTCTTTGCAGACATTCACCAGCACCAGCCTGGAGCCCAGTAGCCCTGTTGGGTGGCTTGACCCAGAAGGGCAATAACGATCACTGCAATCTGGCTTTTAGGAAGCCCCGTTTCTAGGGAAAGGGGGAGAGCACCACATCAAGGAATCACCCTGTGGGACAAAAGAATCTGAACAGCAGAACTTGAGTTTCAGATCTTTTGACTGAAACAGTCTACCCAAATGAATAAGAAGAGACCAAAAAAGTAATTCTGGTAATATGACAAAACAGGGTTCTATAACACCTCCAGAAGATCATCCTAGCTCTCCAGCAATGGATCCAAACCAAGAAGAAATCTCTGAATTGCCAGATAAAGAATTCAGAAGGTTGATTATTAAGCTATTCAAGGAGGAACCAGAGAAAGGCGAAAACCAACATAAATAAATTTTTTAAAAATACAGAATATTGACGAAAAAGTCTCCAAAGAAATAGATATCATAAAGAAAAGACAATTACAACCTCTGGAAATGAAAGACACACTTAGAGAAATGCAAAATACACGAGAAAGTTTCAACAATAGACTCGAATGAGTAGAAGAAGGAACTTAAGAGCTCAAAGACAAGGCTTTGTAATTAACCCAATCTGACAAAGACAAGGAAAAGAAGTGAAATAATGAACAAAGCCTCCAAGAAACTTAGGATTATGTTAAATGACCAAACATAAGAGTAATTGGTATTCTGAGAAAGAAGAGAAATCTAAAAGTTTGGAAAACTTATTTGAGGGAGTAATCAAATGAAAGTTCCCTGGTCTTGCTAGAGATATAGACATCCAAATACAAGAAGCTCAAAAAACACCCTGAAATTCATCATGAAATGTCATCATCTAGGCACGTAGTCATCAGATTATCTAAAGTCAAGGCAAAGGAAAGAATCTTAAGTGCCATGAGGCAAAAGCATCAGGTAACCTATAAATGAAAACCTATCAGATTAACAGCAGATTTCTCAGCAGGAACCCTACAAGCCAGAAGGGATGGGGGTCCTATCTGTAGCCTCCTTAAACAAAATAATTGTCAGCCAAGAATTCTGTATCTAGGGAAACTATGCTTCATAAATGAAGGAGAGATAAAGTCTTTTTCAGGCAAATAAATGTTGAGAGAATTTGCCACTACCAAGCTAGCACCATAAGAAATGCTAAATGAAGTTCTAAATTTTGAAACAAAATCTTGAAATACACCAAAATGGAACCTCCTTAAAGCATAAATCTCACAGGGCCTATAAAACAATAACACAATAGAAAAAAAAAAACTAAGGTATTTAGGCAACAATTAGCATGATGAATAGAACAGTACCTCACATCTCAATAAAAACATTGAATGTAAATGGCCTGAATGCTCCATTTAAAAGATACAGAATGGCAAGTAAGACTCCACCAACCAAGTATCTGCTGTCTTCAAGGGACTCACTGAACACATAAGGACTCACAGAAACTTAATCAAGGGGTGGAAAAAGACATTCCATGCAAATGGAAACCAAAAGAGAGCAGGAGTCACTATTCTAATATCAGACAAAGCAGACTTTAAAGCAAAAAGACAAAAAGGGACATTGTATAATGATAAAAGTATTGGTCCAACAGGAAAATATCACAATCCTAAATTTATAAAACTGGAGATTCCAAATTTATAAAACGATTACTACTAGACCTAAGAAATGAGATAGATGGCAACACAATAATAGTAGGGGACTTCAATACTCCACTGACAGCACTAGATAGATTATCAAGACAGAAAGTCAACAAAGAAACAATGGACTATACCCTAGATAAAATGAACCTAACAGATATTTACAGAACATTCCACCCAAGAACTGCAGAATATACATTCTTTTCATCAGCAGATGGAACATGCTCCAAGATAGACCATATGATAGGCCACAAAACGTCTCAATAAATTTGAAAAAATAGAAATTATATTCAATACTCCCTCAGACCACAGTGGAATAAAATTGGAAATTAACTCCAAAAGGAACCCTCAAAACTATACAAATACATAGAAATTAAATAGTCTGCTCCTGAATGATCTTTGGGTCACAATAAAATCAAAATGGAAAATAAAAAATTATTTGAACTGAACAATAATAGTGGCACAACCTATCAAAACCTCTGGGATACAGCAAAAGCACTACTAAGAGGAAACTTCACAGCATTAAATGTCCACATCAAAAAAGTCTGAAAGAGCACAAATAGACAATCTAAGCTCACATTTTAAGGAACTAGAGAAACAAGAACAAACCAAACCCAAACCCAGCAGAAGAAAAGAAATAACAAAGATCAGAGCAGAACTGAATGAAATTGAAACAAACAAACAAAAACAATACAAAAGATAAATGAAACAAAAAGCTGGTTTTTGGAAAGATAAAGCTGGTTTTTTGAAAAGATAAACAAAACCAATACACCATTAGTGAGATTAACCAATAAAAGAAGAGAGATCACCCAAATAAGCTCAGTTAGAAATGAAATGGGAGATATTACAAACAATACTACAAAAATATAAAAGATCATTCAAGGCTACTATGAACATCTTTATGCACATAAGCTAGAAAATCTAGAGGAGATGGATAATTCCCGGAAATATACGACCCTTCTAGATTAAATCAGGAAGAAATAGAAACTCTGAACAGACCAATAACGAGTAGTGAGATTAAAACAGTAATAAAAAAAAATTGCCAACAAAAAAAGTCCAGGACAGATGGATTCACAGCTAAATTCTGTCAGACACTCAAAGAAGAATTGGTACCAATCATATTGACACTATTCCAACAGATAGAGAAAGAGGGAGTCCTCCCTAAGTCCTTCTATGAAGCCAGTATTACCCTAATACCAAAACCAGGAAAGGACATAACACAAAAAAAGAAAACTACAGACCAATACCCCTGATGAATATAGATGCAAAAATCCTCAACAAAATACTAGAATTCAGTTATTCAAAATAACTGGATCCAACAGCATATACAAAAGATAATCCACCATGATCAAGTGGGTTTCACATGAAGGATATAGAGTTGGTTTAACATACGCAAGTCAATAAATGTGATACACCACATAAACAGAATTAAAAACAAAAATTATATAATCATCTCAATAGATGTAGAAAAAGCATTTGACAAAATCCAGCATCCCTTTATGATTAAAATTCTCAACAAATTCAGCATAGAAGGGACATACCTTAAGGTAATAAAACCCATCTTTGACAAACCCACAGCTAACATTATACTGAACGGGGAAAAGTTTAAAGCATTCCCCATGAGAACTGGAACAAGACAAGGATGCCCACTTTCATCACTTCTATTCAATATAGTACTGGAAGTCCTAGCCAGAGCTATCAGACAAGAGAGAGAAATAAAGGGCATCCAAATTGGTAAAGAGGAAGTAAAACTGTCACTGTTTGCTGATGATATGATCATATACCTAGAACACCCTAAAGACTCATTCAAAAAGCTCCTAGATCTGATATATGAATTCAGTAAAGCTTCAGGATACAAAATCGGTGTACACAAATCAGTAGCACTGCTATAAAGTGACTAAGCTGAGAATCAAATCAAGAACTCAACCCCTTTTACAACAGCTGCAAAAATAAAATAAAATACTTAGGAATATACATAACCAAGGAGGTGAAAGACCTCTACATGGAAAACTACAAAACACTGCTGAAAGAAATCATAGATGACACAAACAAATGGAAACACATCCCATGCTTATGAGTGGGTAGAATCAATATTGTGAAAATGACCATGCTGCCAAAAGTAATCTATAAATTCAATGCAATTCCCATCAAAATACCACCATCATGCTTTGCAGAACTAGAAAAAACAATTCTAAAACTCATATGAAACAAAAAAAGAGTCTGCATGGCCAAAGCAAGACTAAGCAAAAAGAAGAAATCCAGATGCATCATGTTACCCAACTTCAAACTATACTACAAGGTTATAGTTACCAAAACAGGATGGTGCTGGTATAAAAACAGGCATGTAAACCAATGGAACAGAATAGACAACCCAGAAATAAAGCCAAATACTTACAGCCAACTGATCTTTGACAAAACAAACAAAAACATAAAGTGGGGAAAGGACACCCTATTCAACAAATGGTGCTGGGATAATTGGCAAGCCACATGCAGAAGAATGAAACTGGATCCTCATCTCCTAGATTATACAAAAATCAACTCAAGATGGATCAAAGACTTAAATCTAAGACCTGAAACCATACAAATTCTAGACGATAACATCGTAAACACCCTTCTAGTCATTAGCTTAGGCAAAGAGTTCATGACTAAGAACCCAAAAGCAAATGCAACAAAAACAAAGATAAATAGATGGGACTTAATTAAACTAAAAATCTCCTGCACAGCAAAAGAAAGAATCAGCAGAGTTAACAGACAACCACAGAGTGGGAGAAAATCTTCGCAAACTCTGCATCCAACAAAGGACTAATACATAGAATCTACAAGGAACTGAAACAAATCAGCAAGAAAAAAACAAATAATCCCACCAAAAAGTGGGCTAAGAGCATGAATAGACAATTCTCTAAAGAAGATATACAAATGACCAGCAAACCTATGAAAAATACTCAACATCACTAATTATCAGGGAAATGCAAATCAAAACCACAATGCAATGCCACCTTACTCTTGCAAGAATGGCCATAATTAAAAAATCAAAAAATAATAGATGTTGGCATGGATGTGGTGAAAAGGGAGCAATTACATTGCTGGTGGGAATTTAAACTAGTACGGTCATTATGGAAAACAGTATAGAGATTCCTTAAAGAACTAAAAGCAGAACTACCATTTGATCCCACAGTCCCACTACTGGGTATCTATCCAGAGGAAAATAAGTCATTTTATAAAAAGGAAACTTGCACATGCATATTTATAGCAACACAATTTGCAATTGCAAAAATATGAAACCAGCCTAAATGCCTGTCAACCAAAGAGTGGATTAAGAAACTGTGAGGGATATATATACATATATATGCACACACATATATACACACACACATATGTACGTATATATACACACACACACATATATATACATATATACACACACACATACCATTGGATATGAAATACTACTCAGCCATAAAAATGAATGAAATAATGGGATTCATAGCAATCTGGATGGAGTTGGAGATTATTGTTCTAAGTGAAGTAACTTGGGAATGGAAAACCAAACACTGTATATTCTCACTTACAAATGGGAGCTAAGCTATGAGGACACAAAGGCATAAGAACGATATAATGAACTCTGGGGACTTGGGGGGAAGGGTAGGAAGTCAGTGAGAGATAAAAGACTACACATTGTGTGCAGTGTACACTGCTGGGGTGATGGGTACACCAAAATCTCAGAAATCACCACTGAAGGACTTGTCCATGTAACCAAACACCACCTGCTCCCCAAAAACTATTGAAATCATAAAGCATAATTTTAAATATTTAAAAAGTTAGATGCATTTTTTAAAAAAAGAGTCAAATAGCTCTGCTTGCCATTGAGAAAAGCAGTTCCCACCCCTACCCTATTTCTCACTAGCCTAAGGCAACTATTTTCAAATCTTTCAACTGATTCCTTTGGTAATTCCTTTCACAGATGCTTATATTGTTATTTATTGATTTTGCAGCTCAGGCATCATCTACTGACTCCCCACTGTGGAAGGTGAGGCTCTAGCACATTTCTCTGTTCCTTTAACACCATCATATAGGCACACATCCATGAAGATACATTTCCTGGTTTCCTGCCCTCCTGATATAGTATATAGTAGTTTGGATTAGATCCATATTCATTATTTACTTTATATTGACTTTGTAAATGCTATTTATAGGTGAGCCATGATGAGTACTACAATTCCTTTTCTTTCTCCTCACAACTTTTTGTTTACCCTGGAGTTAATAATTGCCTTCTTTTTTCCCATTTGCTAAGGTTTCTATGTACTAAACACCAATTTAAACTCTCTTGAATGTGTACATTTTCTCTTAATATGTTCAAGCACACTAAGAATTCTGTCAATTTAATTTTCTTAAAGAAGCCGCTCATAGATCTGATCCAATCTGGGAGTTCTTTCACCTCTTTCTAGATTCAGATTTCCTCTGTTTTGAATCCCATATTCTTTTCTTTCTCAGCTTTCTCAATCATTTTGGTGAAACAAGTTCTTTCTCTCCTTTTCTAAGAAAGAGCGCATAGGCCGGGCGCGGTGGCTCACGCCTGTAATCCCAGCACTTTGGGAGGCTGAGGCGGGCGGATCACGAGGTCAGGAGATCGAGACCATCCCGGCTAAAACGGTGAAACCCCGTCTCTACTAAAAATACAAAAAATTAGCCGGGCGTAGTGGCGGGCGCCTGTAGTCCCAGCTACTTGGGAGGCTGAGGCAGGAGAATGGCGTGAACCTGGGAGGCAGAGCTTGCAGTGAGCCGAGATCCCGCCACTGCACTCCAGCCTGGGCGACAGAGCGAGACTCCGTCTCAAAAAAAAAAAAAAAAAAAAAAGAAAGAGCGCATAGTAAGTAAATTTTTGTTCCTGTCCTGACACAACTGAAGAAGTTTTTAGTTTATTCTCATACTTAATTGATGTGGAATTTTAGGTGGAAAAATATCATCTCTCAATTTTGAAAGCACTGTGCCATTGTCATGTTGTTTCCAACTTAGTCATTGTGAAACTCAACGCATTCTGATTCTGATTCCTGTTTCTTTGAATGAAATCAGTTTTTCTCTGTATTAGTCAGGGTTCTCCAGAAAGATAGAAGCAATAAGATAGATAGATGATAGATAGATAGATAGATAGATAGATAGATAGATAGATAGATAGGGATTTTTTAGCAGAATTGGCTCATATGACTACAGAGGCTGAGAAGTCTCATGACAGGCTGCTGTCTTTAAGTTGGAGAACCAGGGAGGCCAGTAACATGGCTCAGTTCAAGTCCAAAGATGTCAGAGACAGGGAAACTGATGGTGTAACTCTCAGTCCTAGGCCAGAGGCCTGAGAACCTGGGGGCTGCTGGTACAAGTCCTGGAGTCCAAAGGCTGGAGAACCTGGAGTTCTGATGTCCAACAGAGGAAGGGAGTCCCAGCTCCAAGAGAAAGCAAAATTCACCTTTTCTCTGCCTTCTTGTTGTATCTGGGCTCCCGCTGACTCGGTGGCACCTGCCTACACTGAGGATGCAACTTTCCCTTAGCCCTTCTCGTTTCCATCATTCTGAAATTTCACAATGATGTGCCTGGCATGAATCCAGTTTTGTTCATTGTACTGGGCATTTAGTAGACACTTTTGGTCTAGAAATGTATATCTTTGAATTCAAAGAAAATTTCTTAAACTATTCCTTCTATGATTTCTTCTCCTCCATTTTCTTTCTGGAACTCCTATTGTTTGGATATTAGATTTCCACAACTTGTCCTCTATTTTTTGAAAAATATTTTCTTCCCTATTTTCTATCCCTTTGCTTTTTTGTTCTACTTTCTGGAAGATTTCTCCATCTTAGTTTTCTAATCCTTCTATTGAGTTTTTCATTTATGCTTTCATGTTTTTAATTTATGAAGGCTTTCACTCTTTTTATAGTATCCTATCTCTATTTCATAGATGTAATATTTTGTCTCTGTGAGGCTATTAATGATTATTTCAGGTTTTTTAGAAAAAGGCTTTATTCTCCATGTACGGTCTCTTGCATCCAAGTTACTTTTTCCTTTCTGTTTGTTTGTTATGGACTGTTTGACATTAGAGACTTTCCACCAATACCTGGTGATCTTTTGCTGTCTGTATATGTTTAAAAGAGCAGCCTTGACCAGGCACGATGGCTCACGCCTGTAACCCCAAGACTTTGGAAGGCCAAAGTGAGAGGATGACTTGAGACCAAGAGTTTAAGCCCAGCCTGGGCAACCTAACAAGAACTTGTCTCTACAAAAATTAAAACAAAAAAAATTAGCTGGACATGGTGGCATGTGCCTGTAGTCACAGCTACACAGGAGGCTGAGGTAGGAGGATTGCTTGAGCCTGGGAGGTCAAGGCTGTAGTGAGCCACGATTGTGCCACTGCACTCCAGACTGGGTGACAAAGTGAGAGACCCTGTCTCTTAGAGAGAGAGAGGCCTTAACAACTGACTTGAAGTTCAGGAAGCAGGAGGCCTTTTCAACTGGTTTTCACTGCAGGATGATCTGGCTGGGGACCTCTAATATCAATATCCTTTTATCTTCTCTCTCGGGCTGTTCAGCTGACCCAGAGACTAGTCTTTCATCTCATACCTGAAGGATATAACCTGGTTTCAAGTATTCAGGATGCTGGATGGGCAAAAAAAATTGGTGATTTCAACCTATCATTTGTGAGCTTTCACTTAGTTGCCCTATGTGCTGGATGATACACCTGCCCTGGATTTCCCGTGTTCCTTTAATGCTGACCCTCTTTTTATTCTGGTGAGAACCCGCCTCTAGTCTTTTTCAGAGGGCAGCACCCACTATGTAGAGTAGGGGAAGGAATCAGAGGTCCAATTATTTCCTATACAGACATTTAACCAACAGTTTAGCCCTCCACCTACGCTTCCAGAGGTACCTAGTGCTACCAATTCTTGAGACTTTATAGAGATCTTCAATATAAAATCAGGATATTTCTTGGCTTTCCTGATGACTTAGAATTCAGCTTCCTCAGGCCTTCTAAGTCAGATACTCTTCCCTCTGGTTTCCGGCTTCTGAAATTTTGTTGTTGACTGCTTTCTCACTCTCTGTCATTATGGCATTATGCATTTTGTTTAATTTCTACTTTTTTTTTTTTTTTGAGACAAGGTCTCTGTCGCCCAGGTCTGGAGTGTGGTAGTGTGATTACAGTCCATTGCAGCTTCAATCTCCCCAGCTCAAGCGATCCTCCCACTTCTGCCTCCTGAGTAGCTGGGACTACAAGCGCCACAGGGCCCAGCTAAATTTTTGTATTTTTTGTAGAGACAGGGTTTCTTCCTGTTGCCCAGGCTGGTCTCAAACTCCTGGAATCAAGCAATTCACCCACCTTGGCCTCCCAAAGTTATGGGGTTACAGGCATGAGCCACTGCGCCTGGCCAATTTCTCATTACTTCTTAAGTGACATTTAGAGATAGAGAGATTAAGGCGTACATTCAAAACATCATTTTAACATGAAGCTCTCATCATTTTTTAATGAAAAAATGTTCCACCAAACAGCTCTTCTAAATAGCAAGCTGCTCTGTCTCATTAAAAATAATATTTGGGCCGGGCGCGGTGGCTCATGCCTGTAATCCCAGAACTTTGGGAGATTGAGGAGGGCGGATCATGAGGTCAGGAGAGTGAGACCAACCTGGCTAGCACAGTAAAACGCCATCTCTACTGAAAACACAAAAAATTAGCTGGGCGTGGTGGCACGCGCCTGTAATCCCAACTATTCAGGAGGCTGAGGCCAGAGAATCGCTTAAACCCAGGAGGTGGAGGTTGCAATGAGATGAAATCACGCCATTGCACTCCAGCCTGAGAGACAGAGCAAGACTCGGTCTCAAAAAAAAAAAAAAATTTGGCCATAGGGACAATTCATTGTTAGGAGAAACTGCCTACCTACTCTTAGTATGAAATTTCAGGTTCTTATCTTATTAAAGATTTTTATTTCCGTGGATTATTAAATGTTTGATATCTGGACAAAGAAATGGCATTGGTTTCAAAAATACAACTTGGAAATGGCTAGTGTCTCTCCGGTGGTCAGAGTGGCTGGCTCTTCAACAGTGGTGGCCTAAGCCAGTGATTGCTTTAGGAACAAGCAAATGACCCAGGTTCAACAAAGGTATTGACCAGAAGTCTGTTGGGAGTCTTTTTTTTTTTTTTTTTTTGAGACAGAGTCACACTCTATCGCCCAGGCTGGAGTGCAATGGCACAGTCTCGGCTCACTGCAACCTCTGCCTCCCAGGTTCAAGTAATTCTCTGCCTCAGCCCCCTGAGTAGCTGGGATTACAGGTGCCCGCCACCACGCCTGGCTAATTTTTCTATTTTTAGTAGAGACGGGGTTTCACCATCTTGCCCAGGCTGGTCTTGAACTCCTGACCTCGTGATCCACCCTCCTCTGCCTCCCGAAGTGCTAGGATTACAGGCATGAGCCACCACCCCCGGCCTGCTGGGAGTCTTCTGGAAGAGGTTTTCTTGCTTCTAAAAAAAAGACACAGAAAATAGACAGCGTCTGTCATTCCTCTGGGTGTTGTTTCTGGATGCTACACCTGGGGCTGCCACAGACATCTGGCAGACAGCCTGAGGACTCAGAGAAAACGGAGGACAGCAGAGTGGGAAAAAAACAGCCCTTGATGACTTTATTGAGTTGCTGATTGATTCAAGCTTGGGCTTTCACCTCCTCTGGACTTCCAGCTATGGGAAATGATACGTGTTCTTATCCTGAAACCAATTTGAGTCACGGGTCTTCTATTATTTGCAGCTGAAAGCATCCTAACTCCATACACTGCCAATATACAAGCCACATTCTTAGGCAGGAAAGCACTTATTTTTCAAAAATTATGCAGAGCTGTTGATTTATAGTCTGTTCAAATCACGGAAATGGGTTCAAGAAGAATGAGTTCAATATCTGTGTAGATATGAATAAACCTGTTGCATGCACTCAGGTGGGCCTGAAGGTTACTTTTTAAATCAGCTTTTTTTTTCATTGTTCTGAGCCTCCCTTTCATTCAAACAAAAGTCTGTTTTCCCCTCAATTTGTTTGAGTTCTAGTAGATACAAAATACAGTAAAAATTGAATTGCACTGAAGTAAACCTTCACAGGTAATTGGAATATTATTTTAATTGCTTCTTTGAAGAGGGCTTTTTCTGCAGATTACTACAAAAATTATTACTTGAGCTTCAAGGCTATTAATTATTCCCTAAAAGAGAAATTTTTTCATCTCTTAGAATATATCTGGAGCAGGAGTGAAATAAGTTGGGGCGAAATTAGGTGAGCACATGCTTTAGTATTAAACCCTTGCCCTATTGCACAGTGGTTAAGTGCCAGCTTTATGATTCACTAGCTGCGTGGCTGCAGATAAGTTAATTAATATTTCTGTGCCTCCAATTCATGATCTGTAAAATGAGGTTGATAATACTAAATACCTCGCAGGTTGATGAGAAGATTTAATGAAGAGATACATTTAAAAAAAAAAAAGAGGAAGAACTAGAACAGCGTCTGGTACATTACAAGTACTCGAAAAAAAATTGCCTGTTGTTCTTATCAGGGTTATTCTATCAACATTTATTGAGCACTCCAGGGAGCATCCTGTGGAAGTCCACTTCTCGATTAGTATCAGGGCACAGGCACACCACTGGTTAAGTCAAGGAGAGCCACACAGGGAAGCTGGCTCTCAAGTCCCACTCTACGCATCCCCCTCTCTTCCCCTGCACCTGGAGGCTTCTTCCTCCCTACTTTTCTCATCCTCCAAAGCATCCACCATGGTCATCTCCTCCTGGCCCCTAGGCCTTGTCCTGAGCCCTGAGATGGGTTTTCATTTACTTCAGCTTGGATCTGTTTGTTCTTCCTCTGCTGGAAGACATGATTTCCAGCCCAGGACCCTTTCCCTTTCTGAGGCCACCTCCGCTTGTCCAAGAAACATATCTCTATTTCATTTCTATTCAAAGGTCTGTTGTTACCAAAGTCACTCAAACAATCCTAGACAAAGGAGGTCAGGGGAAAACAGGTCTTTTCTTAATATTAGGAGTTGTGGAAAGGGTTTGGGAGTCCTTGGAGAGTAAGACATCCTTAGCACGCTCTGCAAGGGGTTCTTTAGGCCCTGAGCACTGGGAGGGCACAGGGAGGTGAGACACACGTCAATAACCATCATTCAGCCTAGAAATAAGGGCCTTGTGTGAGTGGAGGTAAGGCCCTTGGGAGGACAGAGGAAAAAGAATTTCTGAGTTGGTGAATCAGAAAAGGCTTCCTAGTAGAGGGCATGGCTTTTCTTTCTTTCTTTCTTTCTTTCTTTCTTTCTTTCTTTCTTTCTTTCTTTCTTTCTTTCTTTTTTTTGTGACTGGTTCTCACTCCTTCACCCAGGCTGGAGTGCAGTGATGTAATCGTGGCTCGCCGCAGCCTCGACTTCCTGGGCTCAGGTGATCCTCCTGTCTCAGCCTCCCAAGTAGCTAGGTGATATGATTTTGTTGTGTCCCCACCCAAATCTCATCTTGAATTACAGCTCCCACAATCCCCACATATTGTTGGACCTGGTGGGAGATAACTGAATCATGGGGGCTGGTTTTGCTTGTGCTGCTCTTGTGAGAGTGAATAAGTCTCACAAGATCTGATGGTTTTATAAAGGGTAGTTCCCCTGCACACACTCTCTTGCCTGCTGCAATGTAGGACGTGGCTTTGTTCCTCCTTCGCCCTCTGCCATGATTGTGAGGCCTCCCCAGCCATGTGTAACTGTGAGTCCATTAAACCTCTTTTTCTTTGTAAGTTGCCAAGTCTTAGGTATGTCTTTATTAGCAGCATGAGAACAGACTAATACAGTAAATTGGTACCAGGTAGTGGGGTGCTGCTGTAAAGATACCCAAAAATGTGGAAGTGACTTTGGAACCGGGTAACAGGCAGAAGTTGTAACAGTTTGGAGGGCTTGGAAGACAGGAAGATGTGGGAAAGTTTGGAACTTCCTAGAGACTCGTTGAATGGCTTTGATCAAACTGCTGATATTGGTATGGACAATGTAGTCCAGGCTGAGGTGGTCTCAGATGGAGATGAGGAATTTATTGGGAACCGAAGCAAAGGTGATTCTTGCTACACTTTAGCAAAGAGACTGGTGGCATTTTGCCCCTGCCCTAGAGATCTGTGGAACTTTGAACTGGAGAGAGATGATTTAGGGTATCTGGTGGAAGAAATTGCTTAGCAGCAAAGCATTCAAGAAGTGACTTGGGTGCTTTTAAAAACATTCAGTTTTATTCATTCACAAATACATGGTTTGGAATTGGAACTTATGTTTAAAGGGGAAGCAGTGCATAAAAGTTTGGAAAGTTTGCAGCCTGATGATGCCATAGAAAAGAAAAACCCATTTTCTGAGAAATTCAAGCTGACTGCAGAAATTTGCATAAGTAACAAGGAGCCAAATGTTAATTGCAAAGACAATGGGGAAAATGTCTCCAGGGCATGTCAGAGGTCTCCATGTCAGGCCCTCCCATCACAAGCCAGAGGCCTAGGAGGAAAAAAATGGTATTGTGGGCTGGGTCCAGGGCCCTGCTGCTTTGTGCAGTCTTGGAACTTGTGCCCTGCATCCCAGCCATGGCTGAAAGGGGCCAAGGTATAGCTCAGGCCTTTGCTTCAGAGGGTGCAAGCCCCAAGCCTTGGCAGCTTACCTATGTTTTGTCCGAAGGTGCATAGAAGTCAAGAATTGAGTTTTAGGAACCTCCAGCTAGATTTCAGAGGATGTATGGAAACACATGGATGTCCAGAGAGATGTGTGCTGGAGGGGTGGAGGCCTCATGGAGAACCTCTGGTAGGGCAGTGAGGAAGGGAAATATGGGGTGGGAGACCCCACACAGACCCACTGGGGCACTGTCTACTGGACCCGTGAGAAGAGGGCCACTGTCCTCCAGACCCCAGAAGCATAGATCCACTGACAGCTTGCACTGTGCACCTGGAAAAGCCACAGACTCTCAATTCTGGCCTATGAAAGCAGCCAGGAGGGAGGCTGCTCAACACAATAGGAACCCACCTCTTTCATCAGCATGACCTGAATATGAGACATGGAGTCAAAGGAGATCATTTTGGAGCTTTAAGATTTGACTGCTCTGCTGGATTCTGGACCTGCATGGGGCCTCTAACCTCTTCATTTTGGCCAATTTCTTCCATTTGGAACAGGTGTATTTATCCAATGCCCATACCCCCACTGTATCTAGGAGGTAATTAAGTTGCTTTTATTTTATAGGCTCATAGGTGGCAAGAGCTTCCCTTGTCTCAGAAGAAACTTTGGACTGTGGACTTTTGAGTTAATGCTGAAATGGGTTAAGATTTTGGTGATTGTTGGGAAGGCATGATTGGTTTTGAAATGTGAGGAAGTGAGATTTGGGAGGGGCCGGGGTGGAAAGACATGGTTTGGCTCTGTGTCCCCACCCAAATCTCACCTTGAATTGTAATAATCTCCAAATGTCAAGGGCAGGGCCAGGTGGAGACAATTGAATCATAGCGACGGTTTCCCCCATACAGTTCTTACGGTAGGGTGTAAGTCCCATTAGATCTGATGGTTTTATAAAGGGCAGTTCCCATGCACATACTCTCTCACCTGCCTCCATGTGGGATGTGTTTTTGCCTCTCCTTCACCTTCTGCTATGATTGTGAGACCTCTCCTGCCATGTGTAACTGCAAGTCCATTAAACCTCTTTTTCTTTGTAAGTTGCCTGGTCTTGGGTATGTCTTTATTAGCAGCCTGAGAATGGACTAACACACTGGGACTGCAGGCATGTGCCACCATGCATGGTTAATTTTTGTGTTTTTTGTAGAGACAGGATTTCACCATGTTGCCCAGTCTGGTCTTGAACTCCTGGGCTCAAGCAATCCACCCACCTCCACCTCGGCCTCCCAAAGTGCTGGGACTACAGGTGTGAGCCACTGTGTCTGGCCAGGCAAGACATTTGTGCCACATGGAAGGATGGGGTCTTGGACGTGTAGAGAGGTGGAGGAAGGGAAGGGGAGACCATGGGCACAGTCTCAGTGCTTTTTCATCCCAGAGTATAACACAGCCAATAGGTACTGTGGACATAGCAGTATTCATTCATTTCTTCATTTCTTCATTTACTCACCCAGGACTCTCTTTCCATGTCATAGAGCCATTCACCTCCTTCATGTAACCTGGGATTGCTGTGTTCCTGCTTCCTTTCACTTTTGGTGAATGTCCCTCTTGTGCAGCTATCCACAGCATGTAGGTTAATCACTAAAAATGCAGGATTGGACTCTCCTGGAGTCCCAGTACCTATCAACATCCCTTCCCCCAGACAGTTCCCTGTTTCTGCCTATGGGAGAAAGAAAGGAGACGTAGTCAGCTTCAAGGTCCTGCCTGAGGCCCACCTCCTATAAGAAGAAAAAGAGGAGGCATGTCTTTATTTATTTTATTTTTATTAATTTATTTTCTTTAGAGGTGGAGTCTCTCTCTGCTGCCCCGGCTGTGGTGCAGTGACATGATCATTGCTTACTGCAGCCTAAAACTCCTGGGCTCAAGTGATCCTCCTACTTCAGCCTCCAAGTAGCTAGGACTACAGGCATCCTCCACCACCATGCCCAGCTAACATTTCCATTTTCTGTACAGATAAGGTCTTGCTATGTTGACTGGCAGAGGCGAGCCTTTCTTGACTAGCTTCTCTGTGCAGGGCACTGGCTGGCCTTTCCTCCACTCTTCCTCCATCACAGCGGGTCTTCCCATAGGCGATTGTCCTGTATGAACTGCATGATCAGTGATGCCAACACCAGAGGTGGGTTTCTGGTCTCTCCTCTATGTCAAGTCCCGCCACTCCTGATGGTGGCAGCCACCAGAGCCTCCAGTTCACAGCCCATTTGCAGTGCTGTGACACTGCTGGGTCCTCAGTTCACTGCAGGATCTGGCCATTTCAGGAGTTCAGCCAGCTCCTTCCTGAGGATGTACTGTGGTGACTCATGGCCAGCCCCCCGGGAGAATAATTCAGAATCTACTTGCCAAAATTTAACAATAGCAGCAACATTTTAATCATCTCCTAGGAGTGACAGACGTCACTGCCTCCAGGGGAAGAGGAGGTGATCCACCCAGCTGCATCCTATTCACTGCCTCCCTTCCTCTCAGCTGGGTGGCAGTGTTGGCAGGATGGGGCTGAGGTGTGGGTGAAAGGTGGTGTCATTTTTTCATGATCAGAGAATGTGAAAGGATGCTGCAGTTTTAATGATCTTCTTAGCCTTGGGGCCCTTGTGTATCAACTGAGGGGATTGGACTGTGTGATCCCTATGTCTCATTGCAGCTCAGAGGTTCTGTGGTTCTGAACATTGCAAAGCCCCTGCACTACCCTGGAGGTATTTCTGCCCCTGCAGCATGAGTAGAACCTGAAACCCTAAGAAAAGGGGTGATTCTTCCAAGGATTTTCCCCCATAAATAAGCTGTACTGAAAACAGCCCTTAAGTCCTTACGCTAGCCAGCTAAACTTCTCGTATTTGCTAGTCATTTTTAATTATTGGAAACTAAGACCAGGAATTGGGATTTCTGAGAAAGGAGAAGCCAGCCAAACCTTTATCCCCTGCAGGGCCCTTGCCTTCATACCCTGAACTTCTCATAAGACATCAGAGTTTGAAGATGATGGAATGCAAGGATGGCTGGAGAAGCCATAGTAACCTAGGGAAGGGTGTTATACAAATGGCTTGTCACCTCTTTGAAGAGGTGACACCTCTAGATCGACATTTCCAATGTCAATATCTCTCCACAGCTCCACCAAGATACTTCATTGTCATACCCCATGCAAATTTGCTCTTCTTCCTGTACACCCAACTTTAATGCCACCATAGAGATCACTTGCTGTCTTTTTTTTCTTCCTATTATGCGAACCCTTTTCCCATTTGGAAGAATGTGTGTGAATCTGAAGGAGATCAGACATTCCTACTCCTGACCCCTAGCAAATGGGGCATGTGCACATGACGTAGGCATGGGCATTCAGACCATATGAATGGGATTTTCGTTCTTGAGAGTGACATGAAGTCTGGAGGTCATTCACAGCAGCAGTGGAGGTGGGCAGGTGAAGAAAGTGTCCAATGGTGGGGATGTTTTGTCTGTGACCTGACCAGGCTGTTCTTGTGGCATGACCCTGGTCCCAACCCCTCTTGGTTCCTACCTATTTTCTGAGTTTGGGTCTCTAGCCTTGCCACTGATTCAGTGAGCTCTAATGAAAATACTTCTAATACATTCTTTTCCTCCTTAGAGATCCAGAGTCAGTTTCTATTGTTTGCAACTGAGTCCTGGCTGGTACCCTCACCCTTCCTCTAGCCACTGGGTCAGGAAGCTGGGGTCCTTCTTGACTGTTCCTTTCCGGTTCACACACCACTGTCACTGAGATCCACTAATCCTGCCCCATGATGTCACCTCTGTTGCTCTCTGCCACCCCTAGCCAGGCCTTCATTATATTTACCTGTTGCTGCTGCCCCCTGTCAATGGCTCCTCTGGCTGCTGGGCTCTTCTGGATGACGGCCATCTACTTCTGGTCAAACTTCAAAATCCAGGATCAGACTACATCCTGCACAGGAGGTTTTGGCAAGGAGAAAAAAGATAAAACTGGAGAAAAGAAAGATGTCCAGTGACTCTGGGTGGAGAAGGATGAGAAAAGTCAGGTGTACAAAACCCAGGTAGAACTCAGGTGCTACCGTGTCTGCCTGAGGTCTTGAGGCTGCACAAGCTTCTCTCCCTTCATGCTACTTTTCCTTATTTTCTAAATTCATATCAATGAAAACATATTAATTACCCTTTAAATTGAAATAAATTAACTCAAGAAGATGCAGTTTTATCTTGCTTTTATAGTAGCCAAGCTCCCTGAGGATGCATTAATTGATTTTAAATCCAAATCAGCCTAACGCACTTGTGCACTTTGCTGGCTAATGGAAATCAGTGATGACTCCTGGAAAGGAAGGGCTGCGTGCCAATTCCCGTTTTTGCACATTTTTATCGCTGTGGGTGAGGTAAGTCCAGCCATGGGTGGAGAAGGCCAGGTAGTGCTCAGCTCTTTATTTATTTAGTAAATATTTTTGGAGCACCTGCTTTATGCCAAAGACTATGCAAGCCACTGAGGAGCAAATGATGAGTGAGACAACCTTGGTCCTTACCTAATGAAGTTTACAGCTGACCACACTAAAATACCTTTTGGGAGGCTTCCTAGTTTTATTTCTGGACTTCACTGGAGTTGGCTTTCACAGATAGCCAGGCCCATCAGAGAGCCTCGTCTGAAAGTTCAGGCGACTTGAAAGTATGGACAGCTATGAAATGGAGCCAGCTTGGCTGGTCTTGCACCCCTCCTACTCCCCAGGCTGTTTCTCCATGAAGACACAGCTTAGTGTACAGAATTGGTTCTAGAAAGTCTGTGGAGATGATCTTGTGTTCTCTCCCTGGCACTCCCACCTAGAGTTACCAGATTTAACAAATAAAAATACAGGACGTCCAGTTAAATGTGAATTTCAGAAAAACAATGAATAAATTTTTTTAGCGTAAGTATGTTCCACGCAATACTTGGAAGACAATGACATTCAACTTGACTGGGTGTCCGTATTTTATCTGGCAACCACTATCACCCACATTCCTAACCCATCCAGTTGCCCTGTGCCCATCGTACTGCTCAGTCCTGCCCTGAGGCAGCGCCTTCCCCAGAGCAGGAATGCAGAATCAACCTGCTCCCTTCCAAAATACCCCTCTCATGAGGACTGTACTAAATTTGAAGTCTACTCTAAGCTAGCTGTCCCCAGGTAAGAAATTCAATTCAGCCGCCTTAAGTGAGCTCTGACTCCAAGCAAGGAAAGATACATGTTGAGGAGGACACAGAGATGAGTGAGACACAGTTGCTACCCTAAGAACCTGGAGGCTAGCATGGCAAGGGGGGTAAGCGATTCAAATAGTTGTAATAGAAGACAGAAAATGACAAATGACTTAGGTTCCAAGGGAATGCAGGGAGGACAAGAACACAGTTATTAAGTACTTTGGCGGTGGGAGTCTTGAGAGTTTCCTGGAGGAGATGGCCTTCACAAGCGACTAGACTCATGACAAACCTGTGAAACATATACCTCAACATCCCCACAACCCTAGCACACATCCCTGAGAAGTCATGTCACAGCTTGGATGTGGTCATCACAAAGCTCCCGGCAGTGCCCACAAATCAATCCCAGTCGGCACCCCAGATGAAGCCCGCACCATCCTTGACCTAGAAGGGTGCCTCATGCTGCAAAAGGGGCATTTCAGAAAGGGCGTGCCAGTTGGGGCAATCAAAACCACCCCAAATCAGGAGAAAGGCCTGTGTGTTTGGAGAGCCCCAAGGAGTCTTGGGTAGCCAGAGGCAGGGGCTCCACACTGGTTGTGTAGCTGGAAGAGTGCCCTGAGGTACATCTAGGATGGAGCAATGGAGAGTCCAGGAACCCAGGGAGCTTGCAGTTCCATTGGAAAGCCAGGCTGGGGACACCTGCTCTCCCTGGAGGTGGGCCTCCCTGCCCACGGGCCTGCCTGGGTGCCGCTTCTGTTTCTGACACTCCATGGACACTGGCTGTGCTGCTTGAGGGAATGCCAATCACATTCTCAGTAAATATTTAGCCATATGAGGTTTGTGAACAGATAACATTTCAGAGTCTGCTTTGTGCTTGTACGGCCTTTAATAAAGGAGAAGAAAGGCTTCTCATTCATTGCTTCCTCGTTAACATGAGTGAGCATTTTCCAGCCGGGCAAACATTTACTGCAGCAGTAGTGGGGCCCAGCCCTGATAATGCCCTCAAGGTGGCCAGAGAAGAAAGCCAAAGGCTCTGACTGACTGTATGCCAAGGAGGAAGTAGCAAAGCAAATGCTCCTCAGGGGTCTCAGGCACTCAGTATTGGAGGGATTCTTTGGTCTGTGGTGGGACCCTGGGGATGATCCTGCACACTACGCACATTGTCCCCAGACCATCCCAGCACTGAGGTCTCTGGAGACAGAAGAGCCGCCAGCTGGTTAATTAATGCTCCCCCGGCAAGCTGGGCAGACAGGCTCCAGCTGCCTCCAAGCTGGTCTATTAGCAGGTCTAGGCTCCCTGTGCCGGGCGCAGCATGGAGCTGTCAGGGAATGTCTTTGAGAAATTAAAGTGGCATTGCTAAGTGGGTACACATAACAGGAGTGAGCCAGCCTGCCTCTCTCTCCTCCTTCTGCCTGACAGTGTCCCCACTCTGATGCCCAATGCATGAGAGTGTGTTTGTCCAGAAACGTAATTAAAGCTGGCTGCCAGATGGGACCAGTGTGTGCCAAGTTTCAGGCCAGGCAGGGGCAGGCCCCTGAGCCCCTCCTGGGTCCATTGCCCTGGTGGAATCTTGCTCTTGGATGCCCCTGGACCCCAGAAGAAAAGTAGAAAAGACAGCACTGGTGAGGCCAGGCCAGAGCTTTAGGAGTCCATCCTGTTCCAACTGGCAGGAACTCTGCCCAGTGGGCTTAGCCCTCTCCTGGCCTGAGTGCCGTCCCCTTTCCTGAGTCCTCCTTGCCTTGATTCTGATCACCCTGTATGTTTTCACCTGCCTTGAGCCTCCATTACTAGGTTTTAGAGGTCTGGACTGTGATTGACATGACCCTGTTTTCACGAAACACTGGGGCCCCATGGGAAGGGCCCAACACGGGCATCCTCTCTTCTCCTCCTCCCTCCCACCAGAAGGGCTGAGCTGGAAACCACAGGAAGGGGCCGGGCTGGTTTGGCTGCTGAGGCTGAGCGTTGGAGCTGGGGAAATCAGGAAACCCAGGCCCGATTCCAGCATGAGTTGGAAAGATCCCCAGCAGCCAGGGCATTTGATAAATAAGACTCTGAAAACCTGTGATGGCAAAGGATTTTTAGACGTTCATTAAACTTTAAAACCTTTGTTTTGAAACACAGTCCTCCCCATGAGGGGCAATGTGTTTTAAAATTAATCTTTATAAATATAATGCATGCTCATGGGCAGAAATCAAAATAATGCAGAAGACTGTGAAATGAAAATAAAGGTGTCTGTGACCCTCCCACTCATTGGAGGTCAACCGTCAACAGCATCAGGGCAATTGGGCTTCAAAGAAACAAAGTCAGAATTGAAACTACAAAATTCAACTAGACTCTGAGTGGTACGTTTGGGATGGAAAAGGGAAGTGTGTGTGCGCGCGTGTGCGTGTGTGTGTGTGTGTGTGTGTGTGTGCACGCGCATGGATGTGTGTAAGCACAAGCCATGTTTACTAACGCAGGCCCTGCCCCCAACTGCCAGGTTTCAGATTCTAGCTCCTCTATTCATAACTGTGTTGCAAGTTAGGCAGTTTGCTCAACTTTTTGATTCCTCTCTTTTTGTCATCTGTAAATTGTGAATAATAATAGTACCTACCTACACAATTGTGCAGATCACAGTATTTTTTAGCTCATGAAACATTGGTGAACCTGCGAAAGGCTTATCAGTCTGTCCGTGCATGCCTATCAACCCCACCTCTTTCTAAAACCAACAGGAATTACAGTAACCCCTCACATGTATGTACCACTATATAGTTTAAAATGACCTCACTTCCCTGGCAGGCAGCTGTGTTATCTCCTTAAGAGGTGAAGATATGGAGACATAGTGACTTGTCCCAGGTCCCATGGCTACAGAAGGCAAATCTGGGTCTAAAACACAAGTGGTGTCCTTTTCTGTGCTCCCAGGGAACCTCAGAGCTCTGTCTGGGCAGTGCACGCTGGGGCAGGTGGCAGCTGGGCAGAGAAAGAGCTCCTGCAGTTTCCTTGTCTTCTTCCCCTTATGATTTTGGTGTGGCCATTGGGACACAGCAATCAGGTCTCTTGACCCCAGCTTAGGGGCAAAAACACACAAATTAATTAATGTATTTATTGTTAGAGACAGGGTCTTGCTCTGTAACCCATGCTGGAATGCAGTGGCGTGATCACAGCTCACTGCAGCCTCAAAATCCTGGGCTCAAGTGATCCTCTTGCCTCAGTCTCCCAAGTGGCTGGGACTGCAGGTGTGAGCCACCTGGCTAATTTTTAAAATTGTATTTTTAAAGACAAGGTCTCACTACATTGCCCAGGCTGGTCTCAAACTCCTGACCACTAGCGATCCTTCTGCCTTGGCCTCCTAAAGCGCTGGGATTACAGGTGTGAGCCACCGTGCTCAGTCAAAAACACCTTTATTAAAGATTCTGTCTTCTTTCCTTCTCTCTTCCTTATTGAGCTTGTATGGTCTTAATCAGTTTCATTGGTCGACCTTTTTTACTTTTAAAAAGTGATTGTTTTTGCTGATTAAAAAAGTAATACCTGAATACTGTTGAAAATACAGATAAGCAAACAGAAAATAAAAATAAATGTCAGAGTAGAAGTGTTTTCTGCCTTCCTGGAGTTGTTTCTGAGGTTCCCACCATGACCAGCGGCACTCAACAATAGTGCAGAATCTTCAGCTGGGGGTCCCCATCAGCCCCTTCCAGCTTCTGCCTACAACCTGATACCATAAGAAACTTTCCAAGATTCACAGGATTCATGATTACAATGACTTCGATCTGCAAATGGCGAATACAATTGGACAACAGCATGACTTAATAGTTTTTTAAGCTGCTTTTTAATTTAAAAATCCAGGTGAGAACTCTACCCTTCACGTGAAATTTGATGAAGTTTTTGGAAAAATTCATTTGGTCAGTGCACTTGAAAATGCCTCACTGCATCCGTTCTAATTCTCTTGGATATTATTATCAGTGGGCTGTTTTTATCGAGACAGCAAACTTACTTGTTGAAATTAGTTTCAACAGACTGTTCTGTGCGTCACAGACTCAAAGACCAGGAGGGAGAGAGCGGTATGTAAGCCCCAGTTACAATGCTGGACATTGAGCGTCGTGATAAATATGTGTACTGAGCGTGGTGGGAGTGCCCAGAACAGGACACCGATTTCACCCAGGTGCGGGGGGAAGGAAGTTCTGACGAAGCTTTACTGAGGAACTGGACACTGAGCTGGACCTTGAATGAACATTAGGAGTTTGTCAGGCAGAGACCGGATGGAAGGCGGGGAAAGAGGCTTGGCAAGTAGCTTGATGTGGCCAGGGCAGAGGGGGATGCCTGGGGTTAAGAGGTGGGGAGGGGTCCGCAGAATCAAGAGATGCAGCTGAAGGAGCAGGTAGAAGCCGGACTAAGAAGGACCTTGTGTGTGCGCTGGGGGATTTGGTCTTCATAGGCTCTGCAGTAGCACTGCTCAACGCTTTCTGGCCTCTGTGCCCTACCCTAGTTCTGTTTAGGAATGACTGGGTCTGCAGCAGGCAGGTTCGAGATAGAAAAGTGCAGGCTCACAAACCCCTGGGAGGAAGTGTGCTGGGCTTCGGGTAGCGTGTAGAGGAGAAAATGGAGTAGGGTTGGCTCTGGAAGGAGAAGGAGGCTGTGTCCCTCTGGCTGGCATGTTTCCCAGTCTCCTTCAGGGTTCCTCTGGAAAGTTCTCGTGATTCTTACCAAGTATCTGCCTTCAGCGAAGTCGCTTATGAATATTAAAATACACACGCAGACACACGCTCATACTCATGCACACACACAAGTGCGTACACACACGCACAAAGCAAAGGGAAGCAATTAGTTTACTGGTTTCTTCCAAGAGTTTTCATGTGGAACTGTAGGAAAATACTACTGAGGAGGCTAGAAGGGAAAATTAACCAGTAAATAGACAAAAGCAAGGAAGTCAGATCTCGTCTCCTCAGAGGCGTGTTTCAAATTCTGGCTTTTTAGAAGATTTTCTTCTCCCCTCTGATGGAGACAACAGAAACGGAAGGGCAAATGCCGGCTGTCACTAGCCACTTGGGTTTTTCTGGGATTTGGGCCACCTGGGTTCTGTCAAGGTGAGGCACGTCTTCAGCAGCTGTGAAAGCCCTTGAATTTCCTGAGTTAGTAAGTGGGTCAGAGGGAGGCAGCTGAGCTCCACCACTTCCCACACACCCCAGCTTCCCTGCATCCCCCAAGCCCCCAGCCAGGTGGGAAGGGAGCCGGAAAGGCATGGAAACAGCTGGTTCTACTCTGCACAGTGCTCCCAGGTTGACCGGCCCTCACTCTCCCAGCTGCTGAAGCTGCCCGACCACCGTGGGGCCATCAGGCTAAAGAGTGGAGGGGAGAGCTGGGGTCCTGGCAATACCAGCCCCTTTGTCTTGGCCTCCAGCATCTGTGGCTGGAAACAGAGCTCAAGAGGTGATTCAGTCCATCCTGGCTGCCAGAGGATGTGGTCATGGGGTGCGGGAGGGGACCATGGCAAAGCACTGGGATTCCGCCCTTTAGGGGGGCTGGCCAGCAGGGGCAGGAGGCCAAGGTCCTTGGCCCAGGGCAGGCCCACTTGTCTCGGGTTATTTCTGAGTTCTCATCTAAAGCCAACGTTATTCCTAGAATGTCTAAAATGAGATGCAGATAGAAAGAAGAAAAGAAGAAAACGGGTCTGGCCTGGTGTGACCAGATGCCTCGCACGTGTCAGTCCCTGAGGATTCAAAGACGAGTAAGATGCATCTGTGTAAGAGCTCCAAACATTTGTGGACACCGGCTAGTCCTCTCACCATGGCCCGGGGAGGGAGGGGAGGCAGCTCTCTAACCCACGCGTGAATAGTTGAGGCTGCTCCAGTCCCCGCAGCCTGGTGTTCCTCATATCTCATCTGTACCCCTCCCTGAATAACCAAAGAACTGAAGATTTCCCATGTCACCGGAGTCCAAGGATAGGATCGAAGAGTTCACCATAATGCTTAGGTTTCCCCGGCACGCTCCGCTCTTCTCTCAAAAACCAGAAAGGCGCCAGATGTGAGTGTTGCACCGACACATGGCCCGCACATGCCTTCGCAAGCCTTTGTTGAAGTCGCCTGCATAGTGAGTAGATTTGTCATTGTTATGCTAGGGAGCTTTCCATTTTCTCTGCACAAGAGCTGTGTCAAGTTCCACTCTGGGTCATGGTGCCCCAGACCCAGCCAATAAATGAACAAATCCTGTGCCGTGGCAGCTCAGCCAATGAAGGAAAAAATTCTGAGCTTAAAGATCGTTGGATCTAGCATGTTTGTTGCCTTAATAAGGGTCTGAGACCCAGGAGACTGGTGCTGTACCCTGCTACATGTGTGCAGTGTGGCTCAGGGTGGCACTGAGGATATGCCTGGCACCTCCCGACAGGTTCACATGTCTCAGCTTGGGGAGTGACAGTGTTTGGGCTGGAGGCTGGGTTAGTCGCCAACTGAAAACACCATTTAATAAGGTTGGCTTTCCACTTCTTTGAGGAGTTGAGTTTGTTGGTAACTTTCATCCCTATGCATACAAAGACAAGATTGGCCAAGTTATAGGTCTTAGGGAGTAAGTATCATGTAGGCCTTGTCAGTGGCCAATGGTAACCAAAAAGGTAATGTGGTTAATGGTTGTATTAATGGACATATATGGTCCACAGTGAGGGAGGCACAATCCACTGTTCTGGACATAACCTTTTAGAGACACGGACTGAGGGGAGAGCCACAAGAGAGAAACCAGGGTCAAACAGGTCTGAATGAGGAGCTTGTCAAACGAGCAAGAACTGAGGGATCTGGGGAGGTGGGGATTGGAAAGGACTTGGGAAGCAGGAGTAGCAGACGTGCCCTCTTCACATTTCTGATCCTTGGAAAAGTAGTTAGGTGTGTTCTACATGGTCCCAGGGATTAAAACTCAGATCTAGGAGGAAGGGACAGAGAAGTGGCATTTAGCTCCTGGAGTTTAAATAGATGACTGTGAGGTTCTCTCTGCCCCAGAGAGCCATTCCCAGGTTTCCTGGTCAGTTTCCTGGTGCTGAGTGTCCTTTGGCATTTTCCCGCCCAGAGTGGGAGTCACCAGGCAGTCTCCATCCAGTGTGGCACCTTCACCTCGCAGGTCCCCAGAGCACTGCCATCTTCACACAATGCTCCACAGTTGGTATCAGTGCTCAGCGATTGAGTTCAGCTGGAGGAGTTTCCGGATGTCCAAAAGCATGTTCCGGCCCTGTGTCCTGGGTGCCCTGCCTCAGCCTCATGTGTGGGCGGAGTCATGGGGAAAGTGCGCTGGAGGAGAGGGCGGGAGGAGTTGTGGGTTCCGGGCCTGATTCCCCACTGCTCATCTTGGGATCTCCAATGAGGCTCATGTTCCTCATGCACACTATGGTCCCGAGAGGGGAGCAATTCTTGGTTTCTTGGGGCTTCCATCTCCCCCCACCATGGCAACTGGTCTTAATCAATCAAAAAATATCAGATCCTAGGACACTTATCACCAGCAATAGTAGACAAGGGTTTTGCAATGATTTTAATTGATTCGATTCAACCTGTTGGGTCTGTGAGAAGTTACAGAACCAGCCTCATGAAATTTGCAGTAGCAACGGCAGGTCAGGGGTTGAGAGTTCCCCATCAAAATACTCTGGGGCTTTCCTCTGAAAATGACAACATGATCCCCTCGAGGCCGGATGAATCTGTGCTTAGTGACACCTTCTCCTGGGGAGACTCAGTTGCAAAGCAGGGTCTAGTTCTTTGAAACCAAATGATCTTGTCAAGCCCAGCTCAGCCCACCTGAGACCAGGAGGAGAAGAGTTTCTTCTTCCCCAGAGACTAGCCCGAACGGCTGCTCTACTAAACACACAGCTTCCTGCAGCAAAACCAAGCCCCAGACTCTGTGAGTCTAAGGAGCTCACTTTCCATGAAAACACAGCCTCACATACCATATAATTAGAAGCCCTCATCCCCAGGATAGTCTCTGAGATGTGTCCTCATGTGCACGCATGCCTGAAGAACCAATAAACACATTCAAGTTCTGTACATACAGGTGTTTTACAACCTGGGATGTGGTTCTTAAGAAACAATAAAATAGATGCAGGGCTTTCAAAGCCCAGATTTTCTTTTTCTTTTTCTTACTCATATATTTTCTGAGATGAAGTCTCACTCTGTCGCCCATGCTGGAGTGCAGTGGCGCAATCTCATCTCACTGCAACCTCCGCCTTCCAAGTTCAAGCAATTCACCTGCCTCAGGCTCCAGAGTAGCTGGGATTACAGATGCCCACCACCACACCTGGCTAATTTTTATATTTTTAGTAGAGATGGGGTTTCTCCATGTTGGCCAGGCTGGTCTCGACCTCCTGACCTCAAGTGATCCCCTGCCTCAGCCTCCCAAAGAGCTCGGATTACAGGCGTGAGCCACCACGCCCAGCCCCAGATGTGATTTTTTTTTTTTCTTGAGATAGGGTCTCACTCTGTTGCCCGGGCTACAGTGAAATGATGCAATCACAGCTCATGGCAGCCTCGACCTCCTGGGCTCAAGCAATCCTTTCACCTCAGCCTCCCGAGTAGCTGGGATCGAAAGCGCCACCACCACGCCCAGATAATTTTTTGTATTTTTAGTAGAGACAGGGTTTCACCATGTTGGCCAGGCTGGTCTTGAACTCCTGACCTCAAGTGACCCACCTGCCTTGGCCTCCCGATGTGTAGGGATTTCAGGCACGAGCTACCGCACCAGGCCAAATTTTCTTTTTAAATATCTGATTTTCATTTACCTTGCCCACTGTCCAAAAAATGACCTTCTTGATTCTCTTCTACTCTTCTTGCTTCTCCCTCCCCCACTCCCCACCAGCTGATTACACCACCCCAGTGTGTCCTTCTGCTGCCCCCTCCCTCAAAGATCCAATATTTGGCGGAGGCTAGTCTCTTGCATAGGCACGGAAATATAATTAAAAGTATGCTGAGGCCACCAGTGATTATCGAGATGACCTTAGACAGGCAGTGAACTTCTCAGTACTGGAGTTTCATCGTCTGGAAACTGCATGATAATAGTACCCATCTCTCGGGGGTGTAAGGAGTAAATGGGACAATAGAGTAAGAAGATAGTTCTGGCACCTAGTAAATGTTCGATAGAATGCTAACTGAGCTGTGGTTGCTGAGATTTTTTGGACTCCAAATATCTCCTGACCAGTTCATCAGCAAAGCCCATTAGAGATTCTGTCCTTGGATTTACTGAGGAATTACTCCTTGTTAAATTAAATACACTAACAGCCCTTTTTAGTTTGGTTTATTCATGTTTACCAGAAAACTAATCATACAGGAATGTGGCAAGAGCCCAGAGGGATTCTCTTTTTGTGTCTGTGGAATGGGAACCTCACCGGGCTGTTTCAGGGATCAAATTACACGTGGCCTGTGATTGTCAGAGGTAAAAGACAGAGCAGATTTAAGGGTTGCTGCTGCTTCCCTACTGGAAGGTGAGTGCCTGCCCTCTCTTCTCTCTCAGCTTCCCCTTCCCTCTTCCCACAGGACTCCAGCAGAAGAGGCAGGGAGCCTGGTATCAGAGTCCATGGCACGGGTGCGCGGGGCCAGGATTATTGGGGAGAACATTCTGGGGTACCTCTTCTTTCTCTGCCCGAGTCATCACCAAGGACAGTCAGGCATGGCTTGAGAAAGTAGAGCCCACTCTGGGCCCCACACCCTCTCCATCTTGCTCCATCCTTCCTTTCCCTTGTTCACAGCTTGCTCCCGCTGTCTCCCGTTTCTGTCTGTCAAGCTCAGAGTGGTGATGCAGAGCACAGGGCCTGGACAATGAGAGCCCTGTGTCCTCGCTCTCTGCCGCTCCCTCCTTCCCTGCCTGCCTTCCTCCCTCCTACACACAGTCATCCCACGTAATGGACACCCACTCCCTGCCAGGTGCCAGATGGGTGCCAGTGACATGCTGATGTCCTGGACAGATGTGATTCCACCCCCACACAGTTCAATCACCCGATATGAGCTGTGTGACCTTGGGTGAGTCCGTGGCTCTCTGTGTCTGCTTCCTTCTTTCCAGGCCTTTCTCTGACACTGAGGCCTTCTCTGGTCTGTGATTTGTGGTTAAGCCAACGCCTAAATGCCACAGAGGCGAGGCTGCAATTCTAGCTGCAGCCCAAGGACAATCAGATTCAATGCCTGTTCCTCCCACGTGACTGTAAAACACCACTTCCCCAAGCCTAATTTATTCATTTTCTATTTTAAAAACCATAACCAAAATCAAGCCCCAAATATTTGCCTAATGGCCATGTCATTGACTGGCCAAAGCATTGAGCTGCCCACCAGTCAGCAGCGGAACCGGCTCCTCCCTCACTGTGGAAACCAGCCCCACAGCAAAGTCTGACCTGCCCAGGCCCTGCCGGCCCCGCCCGGGACTAGAACAGTGAGTGGGGTGGCCCAGGGTTTCTCCCCGGGGCAGTGTCCTCAGCAGGAGCCCGGCGCTAAGCTGTCTGTCTTAGCAGAGTGAGACTGCCTTCTGCAGACGGCGTGCTCACACAGGCAGCCTCCCTGGCAGCATCCTGGCTGGCCTCCTGTGAGTCAGAACAACTGTGATCACTCCAGGAGGCCCATCTGGAACGGCTTAGGTGCTGGGAGGGGTCTTCTGGGCTGGTCTTGAACCTGTGTTTGCATAGCAAACACACTGCTTTCATTTATATTGTATGTTATAAATCAATACAAATAGCAATCTTCCATAAAATGCAGGTATTCATACTTTACACAAGAATGTGAGAACAGAGTGTCCCCATGGAAGATGATTACGCTGACACTGTGTTGGGTGCCTTGGGGTGGAGATTTGGGCAGTAATTCTAAAGGTCTCCCTCCTGAATGAGCCATCAGAAGCAGCCCCTGGGAGGGACCCTGTGTGGCACCACTCTGAGCTTTAGTTTCTTTATCTGGAAAACTGCAATCAAAGTCCCTGTTTGCACACAACTTTTTAGAATCAAATCAAACAAGCGAACAGGTATAAAGCTTTTCATGAGGTGTGAAGTTCTCATACACGAGGAGAGTGTCTTTGTTGTTTTTATTGCAATCTGGTTACCCAAAGGGAACCAACACGGTAAAGCAGGTTTGCCACAAATTCCTCTTGGAAGCTTCTTCCAGTTTCTCCCATTCCCCACCCTCTCCTGCGGAGTCTGAGGATGGTACCTGGCAGCCTGTGTGAGTTGACTCAGCAGCACACGCCCGCTCAGTTCATGACCTCAGATGTCCCTCAGAATCTGCTGCGCTAAATCCAGTTTGTTCCAACTCCTCTTTGGACAAGAATGTGAGTTTGCACTTGTGCCATGAATTAGGTGATAAAAGGGGGCTGGGCAGGACTGAGTCTTAGTATAGCTCTGGGCTATGATTCTGGCCACAGAGTTCAAGCTTCATTGTTCCCAGGAACCTAGGGGCTCAGGACTTCAGAAATCCTCAGCAATGGCTGCAGTGTCTGCAGTGACAGCCAGTGCACGTCCCTCGCCTGCAGCAACATGAAACACACACAGGCCTCGGCCTCCTCAGTCCTGTTCCTGATGCCCGGCTTACCTACCTGAGACCCGGTCCAGGAGTGTCTAAGGACACCCAGTGCTTCTGGGCTGGGCTGGGGCCTAGAGCGACTCCAGTCACCCCTTTCATTTTATAGGTGGAAACCAGATGCCCAGAATGAGAAGGGACTCACCTGGGTCACGGATGAGTTTGTGGTTGTGAGAATATTAACTGCCAGGCTCAGCTGGGTTAAATGGTGTCCTCGGAATTACCCGGTACCTGTGAATGTAGCCTTATTTGGACATAGGGTCTTTGCAGATGTCATTAACAAGTCAAGGTCGTACTGGATTACTGTAGGCTCTGAATTTAATGACTGGTGTCCTTGTAAGAAGGCCACGTGAAGACAGACACACTGAAGGTAGAAGGCTGTGTGACAACAGAGGCAAAGACTGCAGTGATGCAGCCGCAAGCCAAGGAATGCAGGGAACCAACGATCACCAGCAGCAGTGAGAGGCAAGGGAGGGTTCCTCCTTAGAGCCTTCCCAGGGAGCAGGGCCCGGCCACAACTCCAGACTTCTGGCCTCTAGAAGTGTGAGAGAAGGAATTTCTCTTGTTTTAAGCCACGCAGTTTGTGTACTTTGTTACGAGAACCCTGGGAACCGAATACACAGGCCAAGGCCCTCTCTGCTGTTTCCTGGAGCAGCAGTGACAGGGATGCGACTCACCTCATGGAGTGCCACGCTGAGCCTGAGCTAAGCAGCTGACATACATCATCTCAAGTAATCCTCCTGAGAAGCGCAGGAAACGATTATTATTATCCCACAGCAGCTCCCAAGGCAGGGTGCTTTTTTCAAACTGTAATTTTGAATAGTAATATAGTCATATATTTATATTTTATAAAAATATGAAAGCTCCCAAAGGGTGAGACACACAGTGAAAGGTCTCTCTCACTCCACCCCATCCCCTGCTAGCCGGTTCCCTCCTCTGGGGGAGCCATTGTCACCAGAGTCTTGCAGAGTCTTCCAGAGCTGTTCCATAAGCAAACCTGCAAATAAGCTAAAATATCCTCCCGCTTCCAAACACACAACTTTTGAAAACACAAATGTGATATATACTATACAGACGGTTCCTCGACTCATTTTCACTGTTGGTGTGTCTTGGAGCTTCTGTCCTCGTCTCAGCAACACTGGACTTAGATGGGCATCCTGACTTCTTGAAATGCTCCTTTCTGGAGCCACCCCCTCCTTGCTTTCCTTTCACCCTATCAGTTGCTCCTCTGTAGGACCCTGGGCTGATACCCCCTCCCCTCCCCTCCCCTCCTCTCCCTTCCCCTCCCCTCCTCTCCCTTCCCCTCCCCTCCCCTTTCCTTCCCCTCCCTCAGTGTTGGCAAGCCCTGGGCTTACCTTGCTTTCTCCTCACCTCTCCCTGTACTCTTTCTCGCATATCAGGAGGTCACAGCCATCTCCACTCACTGACTCAAACCAGACCTACACACTCCCCCATCTTCATTCTGTCCTGAGTCCTGGGGCTTCTCGCCCCACGGGGGCCATTTGACTCAACTGCCTTCTTCTCCCCATCTCCAGCGCCAGCACCACGACCCACTGGGGTCCTGCAATAGGCTTCTGGCTGGTCTCACATCCATTCTTAACCTGCACACCACCTCGCAAGTCCATCTTTGCCAGCAGCCACGTGATCATCTCAACCCCTCGGTGGCCGCCCCCTGCCTGTAGGATAAATCCAGACTCCCTTCCCGGCTTCCCAGCCCTGCAGGACGCACCTCCTACCTCTCCCTCCAGCCTCACCTGAAGCCATTCTCCCCTTGTGTCACTGGCCTCTCAGTGTCCCGAGTTCACCGAGCTCTGCTCCCTGCACCTGGCAAGACTTCCCCTGGTTAGCTGCTCTTCCTTTGAGGCTCAGCTTAAGTGTGTCACCTTTTGGTGAGACCACCTTCCTGACTCTCCTGTTATTTTCCATCTCAGTCTATGGTTTGTTTTCCTCATGACACTATGGCTGAGATTGTGGTTATGTGACAGAGTGTTTGCGGTTTGACTCTACCCTTCATATAAACTCCATGACGGCGAGGACCATGTCCATCTCAGTTGCCATTGTATCCCTAGAGCCCAGCACCCTGCCGGACACATAGTAGGTCTTTCAATAAAGGTCCATTGAATGAATAAGCAAATCTCCATTTTACAGATGGAGGACCTGAGGGTGACAGTGGTCGAATCACTTACCCAAGGTCACACGGCAAGTAGAGCCAAGACTTGACACCAGGCAGCCTGATTCTAGAGATGGAGTTTATATGAGATAAGTTGCAAGAGAGGGATGAATTGTTATTGTGTACATTTGAACTTTCCCTACCTACAGAGAAGGAACAGAATCCCATGCTCTTATTACAGTAGGAACCAGACCTCTCTGAAGACTTATCGTCCCTCTTAGTGCGTCTGATCTAAAGACCAAGGAACTGGGATGTTACCCTTGGAGTAATTTGGTGCCTGCTTAAACCTTCTGCATCTGCGATGAATAAGAGAGACTTTTTCAGGATTGTTGGTTAGGAGGCAAAAAGTTCAATTTGTCTTGCAGAAATGTTGAGCCTTTTAAATGTTCAGCTCCTTCCTTCTCACTGGATAAAGTTCACCCTTTATTAAACAGTGTGACTACAATAGGGAGCCCTTGAAGGTAAGGGAGCAGGGGCTGGGAAAACTGGGGCTGCACTTTACAGCAGTCCCTTCAGCTACAACTACAGGAAGGGGTGACTTGTTGCCGCCATGTCTCTGGCGGGGGTGGGGGGTGGCAGACCAGGGAGGCATTTCTCTCCAGCCCAGCTGACGGGAAGCGCATTGTGTGCTAGGAAGCACGTGTTCTTCCTTCCTTTCTTCCTTGTGCTTGTGTAGAGAATTTTCATAACTTATCCTCTTTCCATTAAGATCCCAGAAGTGGGAGGGGACCCAGTAGTGTGGAGGAGGTAGGGGAAGATAGCGGTTCCTACACCCTTTTTGGTTTCCTTTGAAAACTTTGAAATACGAAATACACACAGTAAGCCACACCTCTAATAAATGTCCTGGATTAGATTATTGCTGAGCAAATGTTTACATGGGGAGGAGCTTGAGAGGCGCGTATTTCCCCACTCCACTGATGTCGGGCTTGGTCCTGCGACTTGCCTTGGCCACTGGAATGTGGCAGCAGTCAGAGGACACTAGCTCCAAGCTGAGACCCGAAGAAGCCTGTGTGTTTCCATTTCCCTATCTTGGGCTCCTGCCTTTCACCCTTTGAGACCATGCCTTGGATGGCTGCCAGTTAAAGGAGATTGAGACATGTGGAGAAGCCTGCCCTCAACACAGCCAAGCCCAACTTTGAACAACTGAACACAAACCAGTCGGCAAGAAATAAATGCTTATTGTCTGCCACTGGGTTTGGGGATGGTTTGGTATGGCAACAGCTAATTGATACAGTAAGTGTACAGCTCAGTAAATTGTCATAAACAAATGCACCTTTGCAGCCAGCACATAGCTCACACAGAGCATCAGCAGCACCTGAGGAGACCAACCTCCCTGTACCCTGTTCCAGTTGCTACACCCTCCCTAGGTAAGCACTGACCTGACTTCTGATAGAAGAGTTCTGTCCCTTTTCCTGCTTCAAATAAAGGAAACATACAGAATATCCTCATTTGTGTTTCTTCCACTCAACATCACAGTTGTAAGATTTGTCCTGATACTATTGCTCATAGTTGTAGTTCATATATTCTCATCGCTATCGTGTTAATACACCGCAATTCATTTTCCCATCAATGGTATAGTAACACAATAGCAATGAGAATATATGAGCTACAACTGGGAATGGGAAATAGAATGGGAAAATTTCCCGTTCTATTCTATGTCAGTGGGCATTTGAGTTGTTTTTTTTTCAGACATCATAAATAGCATTGCTATAATGTTCTAGTATGTCTTTTGGTGAATATATATATATATATATATATATATATATATATATATATATACACACACACACATACATACATATTTCTGTTGAGTTTACACTAGGAGTGACATTTTACAAAGGTATATATACGTGTGTGTGTGTATACCTGTATATATACAGAGTCTTGGTTGCTTCACATCATCCTCACCAATACTCACGATTTCCTATCTTTTTTGATGTAGTCATTCTGACGGGTGTGTAGTGTGATTGCGTTGTGGTCTGTGATTTGCATTTCCCTGATGACTGATAAACTTAAGCAATTCTCCATATGTTTATTGGCACTTTGGATACTTCCTTTGTGAAGTATCTGATCAAGTCTTTTGTCCACTTTTTGAACCTGGTTTTCTGTCTTTTTCTTATTGATTTGCAGAAGTTATTTATATATTCTTGGTATGAGTCCTGTATGTATTATAAATATCTTCTTCCACTCTGTGGGTTGCCTTTCTCTGTTCTCAGTAGTATCTTTTGATGAACAGAAGTTCTTCAGGGCAATATAATCCAATTTATCAATATTATGGTTAGGGACTTTCTTGTCTTGAGTAAAGAATCATTATCTACTCCAAGATATTCACCTATTTTTCTATGTTTTGCTCTAAAAATGTTTTTGATCTGTGACTCAATTGGGATTAATTTATTTGTGAGCTGTGAGACAGGGGTTAAAATACATTATTTTTCTATGATTAGCAAGTTGACCCAGAGACCATTTAATGGAAAAGGCCACTCTTTTCCCCACAGCACTGCAGTGTCCCTGTTTTGTATTTGGAATTGACAAAAATGGTTTTGAGAACATGCTTTCAGGCTAGAGTGACGAGATTCACACACCAGCTTTCACAGCACAGCTATGGATTTGGAGTAAGTTCCTTCCTACTTCTGAGTCTCAGTTCCTTCATCTGTACTTGAGAGTAATAAAACTTGCCTTTTCAGAGTTTTTAAAACATCAAATGAGAAATTGTATGCAAAGTACTTAGTACAGTGCCTGTGAATGAATGCTGTAAATGTCTGCTATTATTATTACCATGACCACTGCGATGTTCCTGATGTTAGCAGACCTGAAGTCAAATGGGATTTTCCTGATCTGGGGAACAATGTGTGGTCTGTGCTTAATTCTGCTTCCACGTCAGACAGATGGACCACTTCAAGCTGGTTGTGATCTTCCCCTCTGTCCCCTAGCTATCCTCAGGTACTTTCACTGTAGGACCCTTACAATTTCCAGCCTTTGTTTTCCTGGCCTTTATACGATGTCAACAACCTCCTCAAATATTTACCACTTTTTCCCCAACTCACTACAGCTCTACTTTTGAAGCCATAGTCCCAGCTTCCCTCATGAGCTGGCATTACTGAACATACTTTCCTGGTTTGTTTGTAATACCCAGCCAAGCTGTCGGCCTGTCCAGCAGGGAACCAGAGGATGCTTTTTTAGGACAACATCCTGTCTTTGTGAAATTGTTCTGTAGAGCAACAGCTGAGAAAGAAGCCTGCTTGGCCAACGTCTTTGGCAGTGAAGTTTCAGCTCAATGTGAAACATAGATAAAATAAACACCAGACATTTCACACATCAACCTGGTTAGACATATGTGATCTTGATGATTTAGAATGTCATTTGCCAGTCCCATCAGCAAGGTGAGTTCATGTTCCCGCTGAAGCTGGAGCAACTGGATTAGAAATAAGTTCCCCGAGGTTTGGCTTCTGTCTATGGAAATGCCAATGGCTTATTTGTGTTTTCAGAGGGCTGCAGATGTTACTATTTGTGATCTTCAAGAGCAAGTGAAATGTCTTTCAGGAAGATGGAGCTAGAATGGTCTGATCCCCTACGCCCTGCACGTGAGACCTTGTTAAAGCCGGGGCCGGCCTCCCTGGCACAGCGCTCATTTATTCAGTCTCCACTCATACATGAGGCGTGTGCTGTACAGGGGACACAAAGACAGGTGTTCTCCCCTTCACCATCCTTTCATTTAGACTGTAACACTTAACTCCCAGTATTTTATAAGGTAGCCAGACATTTCTAGAACAAAATCTGGTCTTGTTTTCAGGCCTTTCATATCATGCCTGTTTTTGTACTCTGATTTGTCAAGACTTCTACTGCTGGGTGCAGTGGCTCACGCCTGTAATCCCAGCACTTTGGGAGGCCGAGGCGAGTGGATCACAAGGTCAGGAGTTTAAGACCAGCCTGACCAACATGGTGAAACCCCATCTCTACTAAAAATACAAAAATTAGCTGAACGTGGTGGTGCGAGCCTGTAATCCCAGCTACTCAGGAGGCTGAGGCAGGAGAATCTCTTGAACCCAGGAGGCGGAGGTTGCAGTGAGCTGAGATCGTGCCGTTGCACTGTAGCCTGGGCAACAGAGCGAGGCTCCATCTCAAAAAACACAAAAAGAAACAAACAAAAAGCTTCTATTTGGGCCTTTAGGGCTGTTCTGTCTGGGTGAAGATGGTGTAGCAAGCCCCTGCAGAGTAGAGATTCTCAACTTGGCTTCATCACCGAGGTGTTCTACTTTGATTTCCACCAGGAAGCATCTCTTTAGTCTCTACAGGTATTTTACAGCTAAATCAAGTTGGTGTCCAAAGTCTTCTTGATCTTGTTATGCTGAAATCTGTAGCAAGATGTGAACACCTTTTCAACTGACCTTGGAGATATTTGGAAATCATATCTCTTTCAATGGAATGACAATTTATTGGGAACTTTTCAACAGATGTTGGAGCCAGTCCCTTCTGCTCCCTTCATTTAAAAAAAATTATGTATATTTCCCAATTATAAAGATTCTCATGCCATGTATTGTCTGTGGCATTAAATCATTGGTAGACTCATAAAAGAAGGTTTTGTGTTTTCAAAAACATTTTTTATTATAGCTGGTTTTCATGTTACAACATGTATTTCTGCAACTGCTCCCTAGACCAATAGTTTCCAAGCTTTTTTGAATGGAAAATATTTTCTTCAGTAAAAATTTCTGAGCATCTCTTTCCCAGCATGTTCTATTTATTTACCAAATTTTGTTGTGCAACAGACAGAAAGCAGAATAAGTGCCCCCACGTTTTTTCTAAAAAAGCTGCTAACATGTTCAGGCGGGACTTATTATGACAGCAAGACTCATCCAGAGTTTGCCAAATCCCCTAGCCTAGATAAGTCAAACCCAGAAATGTCTAAGTTCATTGAAATTGGGGAATTCATAAAAGTAGGGAAGTCTTTTGCTTTCTCCTCTGCAAACCGTGGGAAAGGAAATGGGAGGTACTTACCTACTCCAAGCCCAGTGAGGGGACTCAAAAAGGTGGGGAGTTTGTGCAAGAAAGGGAGTGACAGACCTGCCCCCAGCCTGAGGCTTGCTGAGCTGCCTGAGATCACCTTGTCTCAGTGGAGTGTGGGGAGAGAAGTGTCTGGAGTGAGACTGACAAGCATCCCAAAGTATCGGAAAGTAGATTACATGACAGCTGGAGTCTTCCACGTATCCAGAGACTGTGAAGGTGGGAGGCTTGCTGGGGCTGCCTGAGACTCAGGTCAAGCACGAGAGAAGAGGTGGGAGCAGCCTGCATTGGCATGGACTGGCCGAGCAAGGATGCCTGAGTCCCCATGGGCCAAGTGGATGGTCCAGAGGACTGTCAGGTGTGAGCCCTCTGGAGGGACATCTCCCAAGAGGTAGCCTGTAGAGCTGATGAGAATCCAATGACAAAAACAAACGAACAAACAAACAACAACAAAAAAAAAAAACAGAGACGTACAGGAGCTAAGGAGGGAGTTTTACAAGACAATGCACTGCTAGTGACAGGGACAGTGAGTGCCGGGTGTGGGTTTCCCCCTGGGAGAGGAGGAGGCAGAGGGACATCACCAAAGAACACACAGACATGTCCTGTGGAACAGACAGGACTTGGGGGATGCCCACTTCAGCAGAAGGCACCAGTAGCCAGATTAAAACAGCACAACCAATCATGCGAGTCTTTGCCCCTTTCCCCTCTGCCCCCAACTTGGAGGAGCTGGGGACGGGAGGGGAGAAAGACATGAAGAGCGAGCGAAGGAAGAGTGAAGACCAGCCCTCTCTCCCATTCCCTGTCACCGGTCCTCAAGCCACAGGCGGGCCTGAGGTCAGGCAGAGAAAGAGTGCTCAACTGCATGGGAGTTAGAAGTTTCGATTCAGACTGGCCTAAGCTGTTTAATACCTGAACCGGAGACCGTTTTGTATAGCTGGAAGTAACCAGAAAGCTGAGGTATCTTCTAAGATATCATCAAGGAGGGGAAAAAGATATCCAGAAAAGCATGTCTGAAGGCAGCACTGGAAGAAAAATGAAGCTGTTTCTGGTTTGTTCCCTACCAAGGTAAGTCTACTCGATAAACAAACAACACTAGAAAATCTGGAACTAACTTACTTTCTTTTCTTTTTCTTTTTCTCTTTCTTTCTTTCTTTCTTTCTTTCTTTCTTTCTTTCTTTCTTTCTTTCTTTCTTTCTTTCTTTCTTTCTCTTTCCTTCTTCTCAGGTAAAAATAAACAAAATGTAAGTCCTAATATTATCTGCAGTAGCTCATCACATGCAGTCCCTGGGGTGAGCTGGGTGAGCTCTCAGTTTGGAGGCCAGAACTCCAGCGTGGTCCGTTCAACTGGAACCCAACCCAGAACTCGCGTGCAGACTGAGGCCTCAGAGTCTGAGGCGCTTGACCCAGCTCTGAGCAAATGCCAGCCCAGACTGCTCACCCATTCTTCAGTCAACACCCATTTCTTGCCTGTTCTTAAGACTTTGTGCTTGGAAGATCCCTAATAAATAAAGCAGACAGGATCTTCGCCCTCGAGAAGCTTACAATCTAAGACTAGAAAACACACTATAAACACACACACACACAAACATATTTTAAAAATTGTAGTTAATGTTGTAACAGTGGCAGTTTAAAAAATGGGTACAGTACAGTAATAAAATATAGTGTGTGTATAGTCGGTGGAGGCAACCCACTGGCAAGACCCCTATCTAACCACTGCGGCAGCTGAAAGGTGCACACACAAAACGCCCAGCAGAGATTGTGCATGAAATTGGACATTTTTATTTTAGAGAAGTGTATTCCTGAAAGGGAAATGAGAATGACGTGTGTGTGTGTGTGTCTGTGTGTGTGTGTGTGTTCTAGTCTGAGTAAGGAAACATGCTGGGCAGTGCTGTGGAGAAAGATTTAGTAGGTAAGTCTAAGCCAGGAGCCTCTTGGCCCAGTCTATGTGTATTTAGGAATACCTGAGCATCTCTGAAACATTGAGAGTAGCAGGGCAGTGAGTATGCCTATGGGACTCAGCCCTAATGCATCTGGGCTAGGGGCAGACCAGTGGGGCAGGAAGAAAGGGCCTCAGAGGATGTCACAAGGAATGATACAGATTTCTCCTTGAGACAAGCCATCACTTGGGACAAAGCTTCTGCTCTAGACTGCTGTCTTAGCTCTTTTGCTCTCCAAGTTTTGGTCCAAGGTACGAATGATAATATCACATCTCTACTACGTGCTGTACAACTTTCGAGGTGGCTTATGCATGTAATGTCATTTAAACCCCACAGCAACCTCATGATGCAGGCATGAGTATCTTCACTTTGTGAAGAGGGAGCTGGGCTCACACTCGTCAAGCCCTTTGGCACTTTCCGTGCAGAGCCAGGCTCCTGCTGCAGACTTGACTCTCTGCAGTGCCGGAGCTTCCTCCTCCAGCCCACAGTGCCTCCGAACGCATCCTAGACATTGAGCATCTTGAGGGCTGAGGCCGTGTCTCACTCACCTCTGTAGCTCCCAGAGCCCAGAATTGTGAGGAATGCATCGCTCATTTATTTATTCATCCAAAATAAATATGTACTGAGCACTAATTAAGTTCCAGGACCTGTGCTGTAGGGTCATTAAATATTTGACAGATGAAAGAGGGGAGGGAGGGAGAAAAGGGGAAAACAGCCTAGGAGGCAGCTGGATGTACAGTGGGGCCCCAGGGCTGTATGGGAGGTGGGCAGTGCGGTGGGGCGGGAGGAGTCCTTGGCTGGGACTCACTCCCTGGCACACTGGCTTGCTGAATGTCTTTGCCTCTCCGGGCCTCATTTTTTACAGAACTTTCCAGTGCTCCTCAGGCGATTTTTTGACAAGTGATTTTGAAAGCTCCATTGACTGAGCAAATCATGTGGTCTGTCCATGCCTTTCACTTGTGTCGCCTTGCCATGGTTCGGATGAGTCCTGCTGAGAAGGAATTTCTTCCTGAGGAATGAATATCTTTTGAAGATTAATTCACACATGAAGTTTGCTTTTTATTATCTTTTTATTTATTTATTTATTTTTTTGAGGCAGGGTCTCACTCCTGTCACGCAGGCTGGAGTACAGTGGTGCAATCTCGGCCCACTGCAGCCTCAACTTCCCAGGGTCAGGTGATCCTCCCACCTCAGCCTCCTGAGTAGCTGGGACTACAGGTGCACACCACCATGCCCACCTAATTTTTGTGTTTTTTGTAGAGATGGGTTTTGCCATGTTTCCCAGGCTGGTCTTAAGCTCTTGGGTTCAAGTAATCTACCTGCCTTGGCCTCCCAAAGTGCTGGGATTACAGGCTTGAGCCACCATGCCTGGCTGAAGCTTGCTTTTTACATGGAGCACTTGCTGTATGCAAGACACGAATCCATCAAAAGTTGATTGACTGATTGGTGGGAGTAGTAGAAAAGAATTGGAACTCAAAATGTAAAATTCTGGGTGCTAGTCCTCACTCAGCAATAAGTTGCTGTGTGACTCTGAGCAAGTTACTTCTTTCTCTGGGCCTTAGAAATGGTGATAATTAAATCAGCTCGGTCAACGTCTGGAAGGGGGCAAGGGCTGTTGGCGTTTTTAAAAAGTTTCTTGGGCGATTCAGATGTGCAACCAGGATTGAGAACCACTCGTTTACATGTCTTTCTTCCTGTGTAACTGTTGAGGCTAGAAACCGGGAGTCCAAGGCTTCAAGACTCCCAGCACAAATGTCTGAACTATAGGAAATATGAGAAATGGGTTTGTTATTGTTATTACTAATAAAATAATCATGGAGGAAGATAAACAGCAAATGGAAGATGATATAGTTTGCATATTTTTGTCTCCAAATTTCATGTTGAAATTTGATCCCCGTTGTTGAAGATGGGGCCTACTGGGAGGTGTGATGGGGGCGGATCCCTCATGAAAGGCTTGGTGCCATCCTTCTGGTAATGTGTGGGTTCTTGCTCTATTCGTTTCCAAAAGAAGTGATTGTTAGGAAATGCCTGGCACCTGCCTCCTCTGTCTTTTTCCTCCTCTCTTGCCATGTGGAGCCTGCACCCCTTTGCCTTCCCCCATAAGTGGAAGCAGCCTGAGGCCTCACCAGATGCAGATGCTGGCGCCATGCTTCTTGTACAGCCTGCAGAACCATGGTCCAAATAAACCTCTTTCTGTTGTAAATTACCTAGCCTCAGGTATTCCTTTATAGCAACACAAATGGACTCATACAGTAGGTTTAGGAGAAGAAAGAGGAGGAAGAGAAGAATCAGCAACCCACACAGAATATTCCAACATTGGAGGAATCATTACTATCTTCATCTAATCTCTCGACTTCAGTTTCCCAACTGTTAAAAAAAAAAAGGAGACTATCTAATTCCTAGTAAATGGGCTCCATAAATAAATAGCCTCGATTTGTAGCATCTGCACATTACCCTGGTGTAAATACTCCCACCATGGTTGACTTTCACTTATGAATGGTTTGACAATGGCTCAAAAGAACCCTGGATCCTTAGGAACGGCTTTCCTAAACCTGCGCTGGCCAGCTCCAGCAGAGCAGAATAGGGGAATCAGTGAGTTAAACATATACCAAGTGCTTGGGACAGTGCCGGCCTCATAGGAAGCACTCAATAAATACGAGTTGTTACCATTATCATTATGGGTATTAATAATGTTTTCATTATGGTTATCGATAATGTTATTAATGGTTATTAGTCATGTTATTTTCTTTCATCTTATTTTGCTAATAGAACTCTTTGTGTCTAACAGGACCAGAGAAGCCGAAAGATAGGATTTTTTTTCAGTGAAAGGATTTTTTTTCAGTGTTTCAAGTAGAAACTGGGTAGCTCCTGACACCTAGGCAGACTTCTTATGCAATCTGCTTTATAACCAGGGTCATTTAACAGAAAGAGATTACATTTATGATAGTTCAGAGTTTATGAAGCACTGCCATGGCTTTTTGCTTTTTCTCCTCGTTTGATACCTGCAACAATTCAATGAGATAGGCAGGAATCCTCATGTTGCAGAAAAAAAAATAAGGTTCAGAGAGATTGTAACTTATCAGGATCACAGGGCTTCTGCCAGTGGCAGAGCTGGTTCTCAAAAAAGTCCAGTGGGGCTGGGTGCAGTGGCTCACACCTGTAATCCCAGCACTTTGGGAGGCCAAGGAGGGTGGATCACAAGGTCAGGAGATTGAGACCATCCTGGCTAACACAGTGAAACCCCGTCTCTACTAAAAATACAAAAAATTAGCCGGGCGTGGTGGCATGCACCTGTAGTCCCAGCTACTTGGTAGGCTGAGGCAGGAGAATTGCTTGAACCAGGGAGGCGGAGGTTGCAGTGAGCCAAGATCGTGCCACTGCACTCCAGCCTGGCGACAGAGCGAGACTCCATCTCACAAAAAAAAAAAAAAAAAAAAAAAAGCCCAGTGTTCTCCCCATCTATTTTAGCTCCAACTTAATTTCCAAGAGGCATTTATGTGGGACACACAATTTCCCTGACCAGGGACCCCACCAGACATGGAGAGAGAGGGAGAGAAGAAATGAGGCAGGCGATGACCTCATTTACTCTAAACAAAAGCCCTGAACACTCACTGCATGCAGGATCTTAAAATAAATATAGTTAATTCGGCCTAAATACCTTCAGTGAACATTTTCAGGGAAGGGATCTCCAGAGGGAAAACTTACTAATTCATGATAAGGTTAAAGTGGACCCATCTCTCGCTTTTAGTGTGAGCTTGAGTTACTACGATAATTAGGTTTGGCAGTGAGGGTATTAAGCTGTGTAGTGCAAGAAGTCCTGTTATTTGTAAAACACCAAGTGCGGTTTAATGGAATGCGTATGTGTGAGTGCATATTCAGGACAGGCTGGGGAAGACTCCAGCGACACTATGGAGCTGAGAGTCTGTGAAGTTGGGTAGCTACCAGGCCTCCCCAAATGTAGTTCTTGGGCTGAAAGTCTCTCCTTACTGAAGAGGCAATGGTTCCATCTCTAAGGAATGCAACACACTCCGTCTTGTGTTCTGCGGATTAGCAAGAAGGGGTGTCTGGAGAAGATGCACACGCGTTATCTTTATGATGTTTTCAATATGCCATTGATCCTGCAATGCATCACATGCCTAGAGTGGGCTCCCTCAGATGGGAGGGGGGTTGATTCTCCTACCTTTCCTTCCCAGTCCTCTGGTAACTTAGGTTGGGTGCTTGGGAGAGGACTCAGAAGGCACATGAGGCTTTTGGTGGCTGTGAACAGCCATGCGGTGCAAAGGGCCCACAAGGAGAACGGGGGGCAGGGCCTCTCAGTCCTGCTAGGCTAATCACTTGAGGGGTTACCCCAGATTTTTGTTTTGAGGGAAAACCCCAACAATGTATCAACATTTATGAATGCATGTTAAGCAATACTGGGAGAGAGCTGTCTACATTAGAGGTCAATTTTGGGGTTTGGGTTTTTTTTTTCACTTTTAGAGTTAAAAAAATTATTAAATCAGTAATCACAAATGACTCACTTCTAGACCTTTGCTATTTTATCTAACTGGCTTAGAAAAAGCCATGTCAGTGCCCAGGGGAAAATGTGAGCTCCAGGAAGCCTTTGGGTACCAGGCAGCTTTGGAAGGAGTTTGGAGGACACTGTTTCAGAGCTCCAGGGCTTTGGGTTCCAAATGCTTTCCAGGCTGAACATCTCCAGGTGATGCTTTTCGAGGAAGAGGGATTTGAGCCGCTGCCCTGAGGCCCTTGTGTGAACACGGTCCACTTTGGCAAGCCCCTCTGGTGTTTAGAGCTGGAGACAAGGAGACCAGCATTTGTCAAGCACTTTCTAAGCCCCAGACTCTGTGCTCCTTGCTTTCTCTGCATTACCACACGTAATCGTCACAACCTCCACTATGAGGCAGCTGCCATTATCCTACAAGAGAAGCAAGATAGCCAGGCGGCCAGCCCAGGACCTAACTTGGCTCACCCGACTCCTCTAGGTCTCGTGGCCCAGGCATGGATGGCTCAGCTTAGACCAGGACAGAACTGGCTACTTTCTTGCACCACGTGGAATAATTCAGTCCATGGCCTATCACATTATGACATAGAATGAGGAGGACTAAAATTAAATACTCACTGTTTGCCAAGCCCTATGTCAGGCCCCTGAGAGAGGCAGCACCGGGTAACAGAAGGAGCTCCAGCTTTGGAAAGAGAAGGCCCTGGATTCATGTCTTACTTGTTATTCATAGTTGTGCAGTTTGGGGCAACTTAACCTTTCTGAATCAGTTCTCTCAGCCATAAAATGAATATAATAATAGCACAAACTTTTCTTCAGAAAGCTGTTGTGAGGGTTAAATGAAATATTGTGAGAGCCACATAAGTCTTCAGTGCATTAGCATCACCATGCATTCCGCACGAACCTGTGTTAAACGCTCCTAACACATTCTTTCTTTTGTGTGTGTGACAGTCTCGTTCTGTCGCCCAGGCTGGAGTGCAATAGTGTGATCTCAGCTCACTGCAACCTCCGCCTCCAGGGTTCAGGCGATTCTCCTGCCTCAGCCTCCCGAGTAGCTGGGATTACAGGTGCCCACCACCACACTCAGCTAAATTTTGTATTTTTAGTAGAGATGGAGTTTCCCCATGTTGGTCAGGCTGGTCTCGAACTCCTGACCTCAGGTGATCCACCCGCCTTGGCCTCTCAAAGTGCTGGGATTACATAATGCATCCTTTTAATAATACAGTCTAAAATTTTGTCCAAAATGGACTTCAGCCTTTTATATCATTGTTTTCAGAGTGTATCTTCTCTCTCTTTTTGAAAATAGAATTGCATTTGCAATTCTGTACATCAACTCCTTTCCCTAACTCTCTAAAAATCTACAGTGCTTTGGTGAGCTTATTAAGTCATTCAGGAACCTGGGAATACATTTCATCCTAATTCATGAGAAGTAATAAAAGGTTCTGAGAGTGGTAGGGAGGGGAAATGTTTTATTTATTTACTTGTCCTATATCATTTCGCACATACTGCATATTATATTATGTATTATTTAGCACCTACAACGCAAGGTGCTACAGAAGATACACATGTGAAAGGCAGCTTCTGTCCCCAAGGAGGGCACAATCTAGGAAGCAGCCAGACAACAAAGGCAAAGAGTGTTACATGCCTGAAAAGCGGTGCCTCCATGGAAATGTGTCTTCCGGGGGAAGGAGAGACGTCTTCTGGCCTGGGCACCATGGAGGAAGAGAAATTTGGGCAACCGACTTAATCTTTCAGGAACTGGGAGAACTTTGCTAACCTTTGGACTAGGCTTTGAAGAGTGGGTGTGGTTTGGTGGTAATCCAGGAAGAGGAAGGGCAATTAGGGGTTCAGAGGGAAATATACAGGACCTGACAGTGTCTGTCTGTCTGGTTGGAGCTAACAAATTATGTAAGAGAAAAATGAGATCATTTAGCTGGGTGCCAGAGTGTGAAAAACCTTAAACATCAGGCTGGGTTTGACTTCAGTGGGGAATCACTGAGCCAGGATTTTTAATAGAGAAGTGACATAAACCTCACCCTGAGGGGTTCTGTCAACCAGACAGGAGATGGAGACCAGAGAGAGGCATGCTAAAGCCAAGGTCGCTGGCCAGGTGACAGCGAAAAGGGCAAGAACTAGAGAGGCATGCAGGACAAACAGCTCAGGGGACGATCCCTTTGAGTTCCTATCCAAGTTCCACCACAGGGGACCTTGTTTATCCTCTCTGGGCCTCAGGTGCCATAGCTGGGAAGTAAAAAGCTTGGGCCAGAAGGTGATTTCTCCAAGTCCTCCCAGCCTGGCCTCCTCTGGCTTTCTGCCTGACATTTTTGTCACCGCTCTTCAAGCTGGCCGAGCAGGGGAGGACTAGTAGTTGTCACCCACCGTGCCAGGCCACCCTCTACCCCCAACAACCCCTGTCGCATTCTCAACAGCTGATGGTTTTTATTGTACAGCCTTGCAAAGAAGCCCAACTAGTTAAAGCAGTTGTGTTTTGCTTTGACTTCGCAAATGTCCCTGAAACAAATGATGCCAAAACAAAGAAACACATCAATACACGCAGCCAGACAATAAAGTCCAAGAACACATAAGAATGTTCTTTTATTACAAGTTGACATAGCAAATCAGTGAAGAAAGGAGAAATCAACCAGCAGGCCTGGGGCAAACGGCTGTTTAGGAAAAAATAATGTTCCATCTCCATCTCACTCTGTGGACCAATATTAATTCCAGCTGGTTTCAGAAGAGAAACATAAGAAAACATAGAGACAGTTAATGTAATCTTGAGACAAGGGAAGCCTTTCTTGGCATGAAAAAGCAGTTACAATAAAGGCAAGGATTAATAGATTTGACCATATTTTTTGTGTGTGTGAGACGGAGTTTCACTCTGTCGCAAAGGCAAGAGTGCAGTGACACAATCTCAGCTCACTGCAACCTCCGTCTCCCATGTTCAAGAGATCCCCCTGCCTCAAACCTCCAAGTAGCTGGGATTATAAGTGTGCACCACCAAGCCTGGTTAACTTTTGTATTTTTAGTGGAGACGGGGTTCCACCATGTTTGCCAGGCTGGTCTCAAACTCCTGAGCTCAAGTGATCCATCGGCCTTGACCTCCCAAAGTGCTGGGATTACAGACACGAGCCACCGCTCCCAACCAGATTTGCCCTTATAAATATTCACAAGTCGGCATACCAAAGACAATACAACGATTTCCCAAGGCTGCATCAAACATCTTTTTAGATGTATCTGGGATGGGTGGGAAAGCCATTTCTAATTATCTCGACGTGAAAAGGGAGAACCCGTTAATGAGAGAAACGAAGAGAACTAGCTTTAGGGGGAACTTCAGGAGGGAAGAAAGGCCTCACCACAGGCTAGAATGGGGCCCTCACCACAGCCACTGAGCAGGGCCAGGAGGATGCGGAGCTCCAGCTCCACCGCCAGGACTTCCATTCCCCCTCTGCCCTGGGGAGGAATTGGAAGGCTCCGCTGGCCTCCCCAGTCCCACTCCTCCACCCCGAGCAGAAGCAAGTGAAAGAAGTAAACGCAGACCCTGCCAGGGTTGCCTTGGCTTTTCTGCAGCTCAGAGCTGATGGGCTGTCTGTCGGACGGGCAGGGGTGGAGGCACCTCCCTCCAGGCTTATGGCCCGGGGGATGTCCTTGAGCCCCTCCCCAGGGCTCCCGGAGCTTGTCTTTCCTGTTCTGTCTCTGTGGCCTGGGTATCACAAGGGAAGGATTTGGTGTCATACTGCCTTCCACAGCCTGTGGCTGCATGCCAGGTCCCAGTGCCCACAAGAAATACGACTCCACCTGCTCCAGGGGACAGGCAGGCCACACGACTCTCGGAGCTCACTGAGAAGTGGGTGCAAGTCTCCAGGCATAGAGTGCCACTCATCTGAACCTTGCTGGGCTTCCCTTTGGGGCTGAGAAGGAGCCCCGGCGTTCCCAGCAGATTGGAAGCTCCCTCTATGGTCTCCTCGGCAACCACAGGCTGCTGGCCTCTCTGAGCAGCGGTCTGGGGCTGAGCTGCCAGGTGACTGCACTGTCCCCATCCCTGCTCGGCTGCAGCAGCAAATTCACATGCCGTAATGAATGGTCCCAGCCTAAGACGGGGGATCTTAGGAATGAAGGTGTTGTGGGGGTTAACATGGCTTCTGGGAAGGAAATTCAAGTTGTATCCACAGGAAGAACTCATACATACCTGGGTTCATCTGGCAAACTAGAAAGCAATGGCCCAAGGAGGGCATCAGGGCAGGGGAGCAGAGAAGCCTCTCAGAGAGCACTCGCCCTAAGGGAAGAAGGAGCTGGAGGACACGAATGCACCGAGAGCCTCGTGGAGGAGGCGAGCGCTCCTGAGCAGTAGCTGAGACTCTGACTGGACCCCGCACGGACCCCGTTCACTTTACGTCTGAGCTCTATAGAGGGTGAACGCCCGAAGCAAGAATGAGCTCCGGAGAAGCCCAAGGCCATGCACAGAGCGCGTCAGTGACGGTTCTTCACTGAAGGCCACAAAACCTGATTCCGGCTGATAGGAGCTAAGAAGGAATGCTGTGAAAGGGTATCACGTAGCTCACAAGGCGGCTGGCCCGCAGGACTGGAAAACTAAAAGAAACAAAAGGTTCCCGTGCAGCTGGAACCACAGCCACAGAACCAGCCCAGAGACAGGGCTGCCGCCTTCTCCCTGACAAAGCCCAGAGAGCTCAGCAGGCACCTCCGATATTGCCCATGGTGGATGCTGGATGTCGCTGCCACCACCATCATTGCTGCCACCACCACCACCACCATCATCACCACCACCACCATCACCACCGTCACCACTACCACCACAGTGGCTGGAAAGAATTTGCCCCTGTCCCAGCTTCACTGCCGTCACTGGCTCCTGATTCAAAGTTGGAGGTGAGTAAGGCTCACTGGCCCACACTTAGGCCTCAAGGAACATGGGGTAAGTGAGTTGTCTGTCCTGTTCAGCTTCTAGATTTGTACATTAGGAAATTCTCCCAACATAGGAGGCTGTGGAGGGAAGGATCAGTCAGACACTGACGGCCAAGAAGGAGGAGGAAGAGGAGGAGAAGTGAGAAGAAACAAACACTCCAGCTTCAAACATATCTTGAATAAGTCACTCCTGCTCTCCAGGCTTCAACCTCCTCTTCCATCGTGACCGTCCACATTGCGTGGGGGTCATGGGAGGAAATGGGTGAGAGTCCTGTCACTGGCAGCGTGGGTAAGTGGAATCACCATCCTGCGTGGTCATCACCATCATCATCTTAAGGATTGTCCCTAACCCGGGGTTCCTCAACCTCTACAACTAACATTTGGGGCCTGTGCATTGTAGGATGTTTAGCAGCATCCTTGGCCTCTACCCACTTGATGCCACCAGCGCCTCCTCTCCAACTGTGACAATTGGCAGCCGCCTCTAGACATTGCCAAATATCCCTGGGGCAGAGCTGCCTCTAGTTGAGACCACTGCTGTAAACACAGCTGCCTCAGTCCTCCTGTGGCCACTCTGCAATAAAGGCCTAGACTTTCCCTCTGGAGAGGCTGGGCTCCTGCCAAGACAGGAGCACGCAGAGTCCTAGGGCGCCCTTTTGACTCCTGCTCATGGAGGCAGAGAGGAGGAAAAGGGCAGTCTTATGTCACCAAATATTTGCTATTCTTTGAGCCCTGCGCAACCTGCCTTTGCTCACTTAGCATGCTCTCCCTCACCCCAACCTCTCTCCACTTGTCCAAATCTGACCCCTTCCCTCTATCTCTGAACTGGCCAGCATTTCTCCCTTTCAAGATGCTCAGTGCCCTGGCCAGACATGGTGGCTCACACCTGTAATCCCAGCACTTTGGGAGGCCAAGGCAGGTGGATCCCTTGAGGTCAGGAGTTCGAGACCAGCCTGGCCAACATAGTGAAACCCCATCTCTACTAAAAATACAAAAATTAGCCGGGTGTGGTGGCACGTGCCTGCAGAATCCCAGCTACTCGGGAGGCTGCGGCGGGAGAATCGCTTGAACACAGGAGGCGAAGGCTGCAGTGAGCCGAGACTGCACCATTGCACTCCAGCCTGGGTGACAGAGTGAGACTCTGTCTCAAAAAAAAAAAAAAAAAAAAAAAAAAAAAAAAAAAAAAGCCGGGCATGGTGGCACACACCTGACATTCCAGCTACTCAGGGGGCTGAGGCAGGAGAACCACTTGAACCTGAACCCAGGAGGCAGAAGTTGCAGTGAGCTAAGATTGTGCCGCTGCACTCCAGCCTGGGCAACAGAGCAAAACTCTGTCTCAAAAATAAATAAATAAATAAATAAATAATGCTCAGTGTCCTAATCCGATACCACATGTTACTCTGTGCTGTACCCCTGCAGTGGGGTGGGGAGGAGGAAAGCCATACACCTACACTGAGAGGCATCATAAGACATCGCCCTGTGAGGACCTTTGTGGAGAGGTGTTAGGGGGACATGGCTCATTTCATCACGCAGCGCTCTCTCAATTAGGACCCTCGGGAGAGATGCCCAAACCACTCCTGAGCAACTGGTCAGTTTTTGTTTTATGGACACCAGGAACTGGGCCTTTTCCCAGGCTTTCCTGTCCTGGAAGCTGTTAGAAAGCTTGGAGTCAAATTTGGGGTTCACCCTCATTATATGTATATTTATGGTTCTCGTAGTTTAGTCTCATTCCTGGCCCCTTTTTTATGCCCTTACCCTTATTTTTTCCTTTTATTCCTTCTTTTAAATTATGTTCCCTTGTTATGTTTTATGTATTAACACTTTCTGGCACAAAGCACAGTCTAAATAAGAAGATAGATGTAGATAAAGTAGCTCTGTCTCTCTCATATGAGAGCTATGTATTTTTATATCTTGTCTGGCTCTAAATTAATGTGAATTTACTGAAAGCAGTAGTTGGATCAGATTCATTTCTTGCCCACCATCCCCACTCCTTCACTCCCTCCCCGGGAATTCAGCCCATTGCCCATTACATATGGACACTCAGTCAGTATTTGTTGCTCTGTTGATGACTGGTTCTCTTAGACGCAACAAATTCCTTCCCTCCCTCCTTTCTCCCTTCCTACCTTCTTTTCTTTCCTCCTTTTCTTCTCTATCTCTTCCTTTTTTTTCCCCCGAAAAATGAAGACAAAAAAGAGGAAACAGATACGCTTTGGAAAGAACTCCCAATGAGGTCCTTCACTATATTCACACCTTAGAAGAGCTGACACTTCAATTCTCTTCTAAAACCTAAAACCTACAACAAGAGTCTATCAAGTTCATGCTGAAGAGTGGCTTCAGCCAGAAGAAGGAAAGCAGGGACTCCTGTGCAGAGCCCCAAGGCCTTCTTGATGACACTGGTCTTGTCTGGGGAAGTAACATTCCAGCCTTGTCAGCTCATTATCGTTTCTCTGAAATCACTCTGCCTTTTCATCTGGATCCAGCATTCTTCAGACTTTGCCTTCTCCTGGTGAGGCATGTGTTACATGAAAAAAGTAAAATGCTACCCTCAGAGAATATTTGTTGAATGAGTGAATCCTATTGAGGCAGGAAAATAGGGTCTGGAGGCAGGAAACATAAGATACCCTCTCCATAGGGCATACACCGACTAAATGACTTTGTAACTTTACTTCACCCTCTTTGTTTACATAGAGCGTACTCCAAGTAGAGGGTATTTAAACTCATAAAAACTCTGTAAACAGGGCCTTTGAGCCCCTACACTCAGGCCCACTCCCACACTGTGGAGCGTGCTTTCATTTTCAATAAAACCCTTCATTCTTTCCTTTGTTTGTGAGTTTTGTCCAATTCTTTGTTCAAGATGCCAAGAACCTGGACACCCTCCACGGTTAACATTATTTGAACCTCCCAACACTGTGAGTTAGACAGAGCAGCGATGATGATCACTATCACCTGTATAGATGAGGAAGATGAGATGAGACTTAGACATGTGATTCACAGTGTCATCAGGACCACAGCGGTTGCATAAAGCTCAAGAAATCTGCTGGGGGTGCAGAGTGGGTCTCCATTAAATGTGCATCACCCTAAAACAGAGCCTAGGCCTCAGGCCCTGCAGATGTGCCAAAGACCCCATCGTTGCTGTAGAGTATCATTTGTTAGTTTGTTCTTGCATTTATGGGCAACACCCATTTATTGAACATGGATGACATGGTGCTAAGCACAGTGAAGGACATAAAGACGAACGTGTCCACTCTTGAGCACCTCAAAGTCTAGCCAGGAAAACAGACCTGTGGAAAAAAGACCACAAAGCAAATCATCAGCACTCTCACGGCGCCACTCCTCACCGGCACTGCCAAAACCGTGCATGCAACTCCATGGTGGCAGTTTTCATATGGATTGCAATTGTTTCATGCCTCTTTCACCACCAGAGTATGACCTCCTTGAGGGAAAGGGCAGTTTTTGTTTTTTTATTTACTTTACTTTTTAATTTATTTTTATGTTTGTTTTGAGACGGAGTCTTGCTCCGTCAGGCTGGAGTGCAACGGTGCAATCTCCACTCACCGCAACCTCCGCCTCCTGGGTTCAAGCGATTCTCCTGCCTCAGCCTCCGGAGTAGCTGGGATCACAGGTGCATGCAACCATGCCCGGCTAATTTTTTGTATTTTTAGTAAAGACAGAGTTTCACTATGTTGGCCAGGCTGGTCTGGAACTCCTGACCACGTGATCCGCCCGCCTTGGCCTCCCAAAGTGCTGGGATTCCAGGTGTGAGCCGCCGCGCCCGGCCTGACAATTTTTATTTTAACCTTATTCTTCCCCACAGCATTTAACCCGGTCACTGATATCCAGCTTCTACTCAGTCAACGCTTGCTGAAGGGATGACAACAGAGGCCTCTGGGGGCTACAAGAGGAGGACATTTCTGCAGGAGCCATGGAGTGCATCACAAAAGGGAGATTTTGCTTGGAGTCTGAAAGCTGAGGAAGAGTTTGCTGGGAGACAGGGGCAAGGGTTCCAGGCCAGGGGAACCCCATAAACAGGACTAGCCTTGGGTAAACACTTCCTGCAGGCCAGGCTGTGTGTGGCCTGTGGAGTGAAGGGCTTTAAAAGGACTATTTCTGAACCCCACCCATCCCATGAGTTTGCTGATATGATCAATACTATCTTATACCTGAGAAACAAAAGGCATAGAAAGATCGAGTACCTTGTCCAAGACCACACAGCCACCATGCCGTAGAAGTGGGACTGGAATCCATTCTGTCATACAACTATAGCCCAGGCAGGAGGGGGAGAGGTCATTACCTCTTCCTTCCCCCTTCTCCATGGAACTCTTGAAAGATTTTAGCTCCATCTGTCACCAAGACCCCAGGGCATCTGTGATCAATAGGATCTCAGCCATGTGCAACACCCCTGGGGGCATGCAGCCGTGTGGGGCACCCGGTCCTAAATGTTCTGTATGCATGTGGCCACCCTCCTTTGCCATGCCTTGAAGAGCCACTCCACAGTCTCCCCAGGTTCTCCTAGGTTGTAGCCACGGAGCTGGGGTGAATGGCTGCTGTTCAGAGTTATGTTCCTCCCCTCCTTAATCCAGAGAGACCCTGCCTTTGCTCGCCAGGCATCTGCACTCTGTAGAGAAGACACCTTGAGATAGGAAAAATCCCAGGCAGCATGAGAGCAGTCAAAAATGCCAGCCACTCTCTCCTGGTACAGGATTCTGTTTTCCAGAGTGCTCCCGGTGCTTAGCAGTGAAAGAGGATGGAGCCTAGGAGCTGCAGAGGCGCCACTGGGTTCCCAGGGCTTGTGACCCAAGCGCCCATGGTATGTCGGGGTGCTCAGTTACCTGCTGTCTTCATACTAGGCCTCACCCTCAGTGTGGCACTCTCACAGTGCCACAGGAAAACAAGACATTGTGTATCTTCCTATTAGTGACCATCATTCAACGCATTTGGTTGAGCCACTCTATGCGCCAGCCATGTTAGAGGTGATTTTACAGTGCGCTCATCTAAGAGAGCTGCTCTGGATGGACCTGGCCCTCAGCGGGGCTGTGCTCTGGGGACGTAGAGCCCAAGGGAGGATTCCAGTTGAGAGGGTCACTCACGTGAAGCAGAGAACATCATCTGCCTGGTCTCCATCTTATGGCAAAAGATGCTTTAGCAGATATTAGGGAATTCTATAATGGTAGTCTCTAGTATTTATTGTCCATCAGATGCCAGGTATGTGGAATATATCTAATCCTTGTAACAAACTTGAATTGGAGGTCATTGTCCAATTTTACAAATAAACAGTCTCCAAGATATTAAGCAGATTTTCCAAGGCCAATTTGTAAATGCCACAGCTAGTGTTCAAAGCCAAGACTTTCTGGCTCCAACTCCCATGCACTTTCCACTACACAGGTGCATCTCAGCCCAGGCTATGTTCACAATACTCACCATCACCATCACCATCATCATTAACTCCAGCCCAGGCTATGGTCACAATACTCACCATCACCGTCATCAACATCATTAACTCCAGCCCAGGCTATGGTCACAATACTCACCATCACCGTCATCTTCATCATTAACTCCAGCCCAGGCTATGTTCACAATACTCACCATCACCGTCATCATCATTAACTCCAGCCCAGGCTATGTTCACAGTACTCACCATCACCATCACTGTCACCATCATCATTAACTCCAGCCCAGGCTATGGTCACAATACTCACCATCACCGTCATCTTCATCATTAACTCCAGCCCAGGCTATGTTCACAATACTCACCATCACCGTCATCATCATTAACTCCAGCCCAGGCTATGTTCACAGTACTCACCATCACCGTCATCATCATCATTAACTCCAGCCCAGGCTATGTTCACAGTACTCACCATCACCGTCATCTTCATCATGAACTCCAGCCCAGGCTATGTTCACAGTACTCACCATCACCGTCATCATCATCATTAACTCCAGCCCAGGCTATGTTCACAGAACTCACCATCACCATCACTGTCATCATCATCATTAACTCCAGCCCAGGCTATGTTCACAGTACTCACCATCACCGTCATCTTCATCATTAACTCCAGCCCAGGCTATGGTCACAATACTCAACATCACCGTCATCAACATCATTAACTCCAGCCCAGGCTATGGTCACAATACTCACCATCACCGTCATCTTCATCATTAACTCCAGCCCAGGCTATGTTCACAATACTCACCATCACCGTCATCATTAACTCCAGCCCAGGCTATGTTCACAGTACTCACCATCACCATCACTGTCACCATCATCATTAACTCCAGCCCAGGCTATGGTCACAATACTCACCATCACCGTCACCTTCATCATTAACTCCAGCCCAGGCTATGTTCACAATACTCACCATCACCGTCATCATCATGAACTCCAGCCCAGGCTATGTTCACAGAACTCACCATCACCGTCATCATCATCATTAACTCCAGCCCAGGCTATGTTCACAGAACTCACCATCACCATCACTGTCATCATCATCATTAACTCCAGCCCAGGCTATGTTCACAGTACTCACCATCACCGTCATCTTCATCATTAACTCCAGCCCAGGCTATGTTCACAGAACTCACCATCACCGTCATCATCATCATTAACTCCAGCCCAGGCTATGTTCACAGTACTCACCATCACCATCACCGTCACCATCATCATTAACTCCAGCCCAGGCTATGTTCACAGTACTCACCATCACCATCACTGTCATCATCATCATCTCCAGTGTGTACACCAGGGCATCAGTGGGTGCTAGAAGCCACAGAAATAAATATGGGCCATCTTCTTGAGGTCCAATTTGGTGATTCGTAGGCATTAGTTTTACATTAAAATCAACATTGATATATTAAGGAAGAGAGAACAAGTTAAGCATAATTGTTTAGGGGGAGAACGGAACTCGATTCTATGGGCTGTTTCAGGCTCTGCCCCAGGTTTGGGGTCTTTCTTCGTGCCGTTGAAACACTTGAATGGAAAATGTAGAGAGTTTCCAAGCTCACCCCGGAATCGGTGAGCAGGCCCTGGTGGTGAGGGCTGCAGGTTGACCTGGACTCCTCCTTCCTGTCTAGGGATTGCCTCCAGATTAGCAGAGGCTGGGGCCTATCTGAGGCAGACAGCTTCAGTGCACACAGGCAAGCTAGAGTCAAGAAATGGACCGTGGATCTTTCAAATCTCTTCTTATCTTGCTTTCAGGTGATTCTGTTATTTAAAGTTTTTATCTTCTTGAAAATTTTAGGAAGATTAAATTTCTTAGGAAATTTTAAATCAAATCATGCTTTTATGGAGTAAGAGAACCGAGCCTTCCCTTTCATGACCCCAGTATACCTCTCCCAAGAGGTGTAGTAAGTTCGTTTTACGTGGTTGATATGGGGCGGGGGTTAGCAGCTCTTCTCTCCTTCAGTAGTTCTCAAGCTTGGCTGCACCAGGAATCACCTGGGAGGGTTTTTTGTTGTTGTTTGTTTTTTTTTTTTTTTTTTTTTTTGAGATGGAGTATCACTCTGTTGCCCAGGCTGGAGTGAAGTGGCTGGATCTCAGCTCACTGCAACCTCCGCCTCCTGGGTTCAAGTGATTCTCCTGCCTCAGCCTCCCAAGTAACTGGAATTACCGGCTTGTGCCACCACGCCTGGCTAATTTTTGTATTTTTAGTAGAGACAGGGTTTTGCCATGTTGGCCAGGCTGGTCTCAAACTCCTGACCTCAGATGATCTGCCCACCTTGGCCTCCCGAAGTGCTAGGATTACAGATGTGAGCCACCATGCCCAACCCACCTGGAAGTTTTAACAAACACTGATGCCTGGGCTCAGTCCCCAGAGGCGCTCTCTGAAGTGCTTGACCAGGGGTGTGGCCTGCCCACTGAGGGTATTAAAAGCCCTTCAGGTGACCCAGGTACAGTAGGCTTGAGAACCACTGTCGTGTAGTTTTAGGCCAGTGACCAGGATCCTTGGCTCTTTGAAGGAGCAATTTCAAGTAGATCTGAGCTGCAAAATTGCCATCACCTTACCCCTGCTCATTAAGAAAACACAGAGAAAAATCTTCCTGCTAAAAGCCTGGGGTGAAAAGGTTCCGCTTTTGATGGATGTACTTAAAAGAAAAAGCTTTGATTTGTTTGAAGTCATCCTTAGGGGTGGGTTTTTTTCTTGCATCTATGAGAGTGTTCTCAAACCCCGTGAAAAAAATTAGATTCTAGCAGCAAAGGTTGATGAAATGCAGATACTGGCAAAGAGTCGTTTCAATGAAAAACCAAAAGGCCCATGGCTGGCTTCCTTCTTGAGTAGTTTCTACGGTTTTCACAGATATTTCTGCAATCAGATTGCATCATTCATCCTCCCCATTCCCACTGTCATAATCCAGGTCTGACATCTTCCCGCTGCAGTGTCACAGTCTCCTAACTCATCTCCCTGCCACCAGCGTTTCCCTTTTTCAGCCACTCTCTGCATCATACCCAGAGAGATCTCTCTAGAACGCGTATTTGATCGTGTCACTCTCCTGTCTAAAAATCCTGTAGTGTCTGCTTCCTTGTTATATTTGAAATAAAACCTGAACTTCTTTGTACAACGCATAAAGTCACTCATTATCTAGTACATGCCTAACCTCTCCGGCTTTTCATCTCAATCTCTCCATAATCCTGCACACTCCACGTCAAAGCCAGACAGAATGACTCATGGTTTTCCAAACATGCTGAGCCCTCTCATGGCCCTGAGGTCTGGGTTCTAGAGGGTTCTCTATATCTGGAACATCCTTCCCACCGCCTTCCGCTTTCTTCTCTCAGCTAAGTCCCACTGTTTTTTTGTTGTTGTTTGTTTGTTGAGACAGAGTCTTGCTCTGTCGCCAGGCTGGAATGAAATGGTGTGATCTGAGCTCACTGTAGCCTCTGCCTCCCGGGTTCAAGCAATTCTCCTGCCTCAGCTTCCTGAGTAGTTGGGGCGACAGGCGCGCACCACCATGCCCAGCTAATTTTTGTATTTTTGGTAGAGACTGGGTTTCACCATGTTGGCCAGGATGGTCTCGATCTCTTGACCTCGTGATCCGCCCACCTCGGCCTCCCAAAGTGCTGGGATTACAGGCATGAGCCACTATGCCCAGCCAGCCCCACGGGTTTTTAAAGAAGCTTCCTTGAAGCCCCACTCCAGGTTAAGCATACTCTTCTTTCCCCCCACAGCACCTCAGGCATTGACCTCAGTCACTACTCTTACCACACTGTGTTATGATCATCTCTTTTGTCTACCCTAGACTGAGATCTTTTTAACACCAGTCTAGCACCTAGACCATAGCCTGACATGTCATTGGTGCTTACTGTGGTTTACAACAAAAAATAATCAAAATAATGCCCGAAATATGTTCATTTCTGCCCAATTGACTTCTAGCAAAATGGGCAACTGAAGTAGGTAGTTTGCATAGACACCAAGAAAATAAATCTTTGTCTTAGTGGCACCTAATTTCCCGTGTCAATAAAATCTCATGGAAAAATATCAAGTGCTTGCTGAATGACCAGCACAATGGGGATAAGCAAAAATAAGACAAGGTCAGATGAAATGTTCGTTCTTCCTCTTTGCTTCTACTGCAATAGGTGTTCCTTGGCTGAATCCCTTCATTCCCCCATGAACTGCTGTCCCCCCGGTATGTGGCTTTTCCTCCGCTACACTCAAAGCAGCTGGAGGGCATGGTCATGCATTATGGTCCCTCCATGGCCCACCTTGCCTGGGACACGTGCTCAGGAATGTTGTCCAATTCCAAATTATGATGAGCTAAGATTTGGCAACACATTCTGAAATGTTTTCTTTGGAACCCAAAATTAAAACTTTCACTTCTGATGAAGTTGCCTCAAATCCTTTCTGGAATAAAGCAAGCTATCAAAAAAATGAATAGAGGAGAGTGAAAATACATAAAAATGAATAAATAAGGACATGAAAAATATTTGGTGAAACCCACTATATCTCACCTATTCGTTTATTTGATCATTTGTTCACCAATCCATCCTGTCATCCAACTAACCATCCTTCATTTAACAAATATGGATGTGCCTGGGGCTGGGCTCAGAGTGATAAATGAGACAAATAGTCCTTGCACTCATGGGCTAATGTTCTAATGGGAAACAGACATTCGACAAAGAATTTCAAGTGTAACTGGGAATGAAAAGGGTGGTGTGGAGGTGCCCCCAAGACAGACGATGGTACTTGCTCATTCATTCACTCACCACTCACTCACCCACTCATTCATTCCCGGGTCCTCACACAAAGCCTGGATTCGCAGCACCACTCAATGTTTATTGAAGGAATGGATGAGGCCTGCTGTCTGCACAGTGTGTCATTAACAAAGGAGAATTTACCTGGAAGGTTGACTTGGGGAGCCCCAAATTTAAACTTACTTGATTTTTTAAAGCTTCTGGTTTTCTCACATCTCTGCAGGAAGGAGCATGGGCATGTATAATGTCAGAATTAAGACCTAATGATGAGACACCAGAGGTGTGAGTGCCCTACCGCACAGTAGCAGGGTTACCACAGGGCTTAGCCAAAGGCAGTTTAACTTACAATAACAAAGAACCGACATTTCCATCACCCACTTCCCTGAGGAAGAAAAAAGATCAAAGATATCGCAGTGCCATCGTTTAAACAGTAAAACAGAATTCACCTTGTGCAGCAAATGCCCCATGGCTCCTACATTACCAGTGTTCTGTGTTTCCTCGGTGATAGGCCTCTGTAACAAGCCTCTGTAGGGTCTCTTCTAACCCGTGAGTCCCAGCAACTTTAGCCAGAGCCAAGAGAGCCCTGAGGGATACTTGCCTGTTTGATTTCACGAAAGGACTGGCTTTTGCCTTTTCTGGCTAAACATGAGATGGAGAGAGACAGTGAGGGCGGGCTTTAGGATGTCACTGTGCCTTTGGCCGGAGCTCATTCTGCTGCCAGGATGAGTCACCTCGAAGATAAGAGTCGCAGTCATTCGTGAGCTGGGTGTTACCACACTTGGCAGAACTTGGATTCTATTGTGTCTGGAATTGGTGGGTTCTTGTTCTTTCTGACTTCAAGAATGAAGCCACAGACCCTCGAGGTGAGTGTTACAGTTCTTAAAGATGGTGTGTCCGGAGTTTCTTCCTTCTGGTGGGTTCGTGGTCTTGCTGACTTGAGGAGTGAAGCCGCAGACCTTCACAGTCAATGTTACAGCTCTTAAAGGTAGTGTGGACCCAAAGCGTGAACAGCAGCAAGATTTACTGCCAAGAGCAAAAGAACACAGCTTACTGAGCCTGGAAAGGGACCCGACTGGATTCCCGATGCCGGCTCGGGTGGCCTGCGTTTATTCCCTTATTTGGCCCCACCCACATCCTGCTAATTGGTCCATTTTACAGAGAGCTGATTGGTCCATTTTACAGAGAGCTGATTGGTCCATTTTACAGAGCGCTGATTGGTGTGTTTTTACAGAGTGCTGATTGGTGTATTTACAATCTTTAGCTAGACAGAAAAGTTCTCTAGGTCCCCACCTGATTAGCTAGACACAGAGTGCCGATTGGTGCGTTTTTACAGAGTGCTGATTGGTGTGTTTACAAACCTTTAGCTAGACACAGAGCGCTGATTGGTGCATTTACAATCCCTTAGCTAGACAGAAAAGTTCTCCAAGTCCTCACCTGACCCAGAAGCCCAGCCGGCTTCACCTCTCACTATGGCGGGAGCGATAAGCTGTCACTCCCCATTCCTGCTTAGGTCTGGATCTGTAAAAGCATCAGCAGGTCCAGACAGCTGAGGTTCTGTGAAAGGGTCCTATGTGCTTCTCCTGCTTTCCAGCTTAAGAACTAACGGGTGTCCAAGTGCTGAAGAAAGGACCCAGGGAAGCGAATGGGAGACCTGCTTCTAGTCCCAGACCTGCTACTGATGCTCTGTGTGGCTTTGGACAAGCTGCTTTTCCCTCTGGGCTCCACTTTCCTTGTCTGTAAAATGCTCATAGTCAGTCTAGTCCAGAAGCTCTAACTTTTGGGCCCTAGTCTACCAGAAATCCTCAAAGATAGCAATGGTTTCTGTGATTCCAAATAGCCTGATGAAAATGTACATTTCACAACGAAGGGGCTGAGTTGACTAAAGAGCCCAACTCCATTGCTTTTGACTAGCATTGTGTAGATGTCATAAATTGGGACTCTCGTGTTCATTAGAAACCCCTATCAACAGCCGTATATTTCTTTTTTCCTTTTTCTTTTTTCTTTTTTTGAGACTGAGTCTCGCTGTGTCACCCAGGCTGGAGTGCAGTGGCGCGATCTCTGCTCACTGCAAGCTCCGCCTCCCAGGTTCACACCATTCTCCTGCCTCAGCCTCCCGAGTAGCTGGGACTACAGGCGCCCACCACCACGCCTGGCTAATTTTTTGTATTTTTAGTAGAGACGGGGTTTCACCGTGTTAGCCAGGATGGTCTCGATCTCCTGACCTCGTGATCTGCGACTTGGTCTCCCAAAGTGCTGGGATTACAGGTGTGAGCCACCGTGCCTGGCCCATATATTTCTTTAATAAATCACAGGAAAAGAAATTTTTAACATATTTAGTTTTCTTCATACAAAATTGTTCTAAATGTAGGCCAGCATGAAGTATGGCTTTTGAAATGTTTCTGGTGGTAAGCACATTGCAGGTCCCTTGAAACCCAGTGATCCATCCAGCTCTAAGATTCTAAGATTCTAAGACTGGCGAGGGAGCCCGCCTCGCTCCCTTCCTCCTGCTCCATTGCTCCACAGCAAACAGCAGCCGTCTGCACCTAGGACCAGGCTGCAAGCTCACTTCAGACAAGGGCACTGGCTCCTCTGTGTGTTCAGAAAAGGTCTGAGAAGTTGGTGATTAGGGATTATGATCCCTGAAGCCCAGAGTATCTCTCAGTAACCATTATCAACTTACTTTATCATTGCCTCAGCTTCCTTTTCTGCGAAATAGTGTTCTATCTAAGATAGGCATAAATGGACATTATTTTGAATAGTAACAGTTAGAATAACCTTTGGACTATTGGATATTCTATGGAGAGAGGCAAGTGGTAGGCAGAATATAGACTCTCAGAACCAGAATTGCAATTCATGAAAGTTTACCCACCATATGTGTAAACACACACACACACACACACAAACACACACAAAGTCATACTCTCCTACAAGATAGAGGTGTGACCTACCTAGCCCTCTCTTTGAGTCCTTTCTTTCTGGCTTGAATAAGAGTAGATAGGTAGCTGGGGTGTTAAAAGAATGTTCTAGGTTTTAGCACCTGATACCTTGCAAAGACTTAAGGTCACCAGCTGCTCCCTTCTTCCAGGTGAAACCAGAGAGAGCTTGACCTCAATGTGGGTACCGACGGTCTAATTTCCTGATGCTTGGAGGAGGACATGTAAGAGGGACCGCTGGACTCTGCAGAGGGAGAAGGATGCGCTGAGACATTCCATTCCAACTCTCTCACAAAGCTACACATGAATCCCTCAGAGCTAGGGTGAGAACCCAGGGATGAATGAAGTGGATACAGTTAGGCCGCTAAAACCAGGAATTCATCTCTTCGTGTGATATTTATAGGAGTTGCACATAAAAAGTAACTCAGCCACCATTACCATCATTGCCATCATCACCATTACCCCGAGAGAGGAGCATCTGCTCAATGTCCTGTAATGTCCAAAAACAGCTTTTACAGCCATTATCTTATCTGAGCTTCATAATCACCCTGTAAAGTAGGTGCAGCAGGGCTTATTCCCTGCTCCCCTTCCCTTTTGAGGATGAGAAAACTGCAGCGCCAGGAGAAGTGACTTGCCCACGGCCATCCAGCAGGTAGTAGAGCAGACACAGGACTAGAACCCAGGCCTTCTCACTTCGGCCCAGTGTCTTTCAACGACGGCTCGGAAAGCTGTTGCCTTACCAAGAGCACCGAGGGGAATGGGTGCACTGGGAAGGTGCTCTCCTAGGTGGAGACTACCTTAGTTCAGGCTGAGGACAGAGGAGCAGAGACCCTGTTCCCCAGTGAAGGCCTGCCAATGTTCTGATGCCTTTGGGGTTGCTGATGCTCCTCATTGCACCAAGAGGAGCAACTGATTTTCTGATTTTCTGGTTGGCTTACCCCGTTGATTGCAATTGAGCTGAATCTTTAAATTGAGCTTGCCAGAAAAACTGGTACCAATTAAAGATGAGCCTTCTGCTCTCCATGGCTGGCTGTGGTTTAGAGGCCTCAGGGCAGCCCAAAAGAGGCTCTGTCCCTGTGAGGTCAGCCCTTATCCTCCCATCCCCAAGGCTCCTTGTCTGTAATCCGAGCAGACAGCCCTCACTATGGACATCTCTTTTTTTCCTCAGCAAGACCTGGTTGTGCATTTCTTCCTCCTACCCATCTCCTTGAAATCAGCCCAGTCTAGATTCAGAGACGTGTGCTGAAACACCCAGAAGTGCAGCTGCAAACCCGGAAGCGCCAGCACCAGAGGAGCCCAGGCCTTCAGCTGACTTCTCAGGCATGCCCCTCCTGCATGCCCTCCCTGCCACCCCAGCCCTCCCCCAACCACCTACACGCGGGACCAGCTCCCACTCCACGGATTCCCAGGCCCCCTGCCCTGGCGGGGCATGCTCCCATCTTTCTGGTTTGTACCCTTCTCAGTGCTCTACATCCCACTGGAGGAAACCACCTAGTCTCTGGCTTTTAACCACCTTCTGTCTCGTACTTCCATGTATCCTTGACTGCAAGCGATCTCTTTTTTCACGGTTTTGAATAAGTGTCCCAGCTAACTTATGTTGGCTTTTAAGCACAGACTCTACAGGCCTCTGTGTTATCCTTCCCTTTCACAGTATCGTGAAGTGTAAGAGGTGGAAGGGGCCTTGCGTAGTTCCATTTTACAATGAGACACACCGAGGTCCTGAGAGGAAATGCAATCTGTCCTAGGTGGAGACGACTTTAGTTTGTACTGAAGACAGAGGACCAGTGGCCTGTGCCCTAACAGAGGCTGGCAAAGCTTGGCCTTTGTGTGGATCCTGAAGCTCCAATTCCCTGATGCTTAAGGGAGTGCGTGCAGGAGGTACTGCTGCACCTAGCAGGGAGAATAATGTGCTGCACAGCTACTGGCCTGGACTCCAGCCTCCACCTTCTGGCTTCAGTGCTTAGCATTTCTTCATGATTCTCTTCTCTTGGTCTCTCCACTATTTGAGTCAATCCCAGAATCCCTTAGTCCAAGTCTGGTGCTGATGCTACTGGTACCCAATACATTGGTGAAAGAAAACAGAGGCCTATCACCAAACAGACTGAGGATTTCTTGTTTGCTACATAATCATGGCTTTGTTTTGTGCCAGCTGGGATTCACAACTTCAAAAATATGCTTGTGCAGATTTCAGCTCTGTCCTATATCCCTCCAACCGCTCTGTTTTTTCCTATCAGTTCAGGCCCTCAATATGTCCTCTTTAGCTATCTGCTCTAGCTTCATATGCTAGCCTGGTCACTCTTCCAAAGACCCAGCTCTGAGCATGTCCCCTTCTCTAAAACCTTTAGTGGCTCCCCATTATCTACTGATCTCCTTCAGCGGGTATTATCCCTCTCTGTACCAGCTGCAAATGTCTTTCTAGCTATGCCTTATCTGGCAACTCCCTCCACTGGGCTTCTTATACCCACCATGCAGCCAGCCTGTCTCTGCTCCCTCCACACGCCTTAAGCTTCCCTGATGCATTGTGTTTGCCTAGACTGTCTCCTTGGCTTGGAATGGCCTCCTCTCTCTCCCAAGCCTGCAGAAATGCTACCGACTTCTCAGGAGCTATCACAAATGCTACCTTTCCATGAAGCCTTCTTACTCAACCCACGTGGTGCCTCAGACGTCTTTGTTTTCTCTCTCTCATCTCACTCACCTAACTCTGCTTTGCTTTACAACTATTGAGAACCACGTCTCCACTGGGCTGTGAGTTGGAGGGCAGGGACTTGGCCTTTTCCAACTTGGTATTTGCTGCTACCTGTAGGAGAGGCTGCATGGTGAGCATTTGTTAAACGAATGAATTCTTTACAGTGCTGTCATTGCAAGGGTGTCTCTGGGTTGTCAAGGTTCATATGAATAATTAAGGCTATAATAATCCATCTCTGGATTATTAAAATGAACCCAGTCTCTGATAGCCTGCCTTCCACAGAGCCTTCCTCTAACAACTCTTTACCCCAGGCAGAATTTCCTTCTGGGAGCTTGAGGCTTTGATTACAGAAAAGCACCCTGGGAGGCCAGACCTAGAAACATGTTTATCAGTCTCTCACATTTGCAGTTTGCCTGAAGACAGCTCTGAAAGTGGGTTGCGTGGGGGTTAAGAGTTGGAGGTAGGGGCCGGGAGACAGCCCCCCTCCAAACTAGCCTGAGTGCTTGCAGATGTTAAAAGCAGCCAGCATTTCATAAGTGGGCATGGCGTCCGTTCCCATCAAGCCTTTCTTTCTCCTGGGCCCTGTGAGTCTGGAATAACCAACCAGGCTGCCACAGATTCCTGTGATGCTTCCTGGAAGTGAATGCTGCTGATTCTCACATTTTAGACATTATTCTATTTTTATTGTTATTTTTATTTTTTGAGACAGAGTCTCATTCTGTCGTCCAGGCTGTAGTGTAGCTGGGATTACCGGCATCCACCACCACGCCCAGCTAATTTTTGTAGTTTTAGTAGGGACGGGGTTTCTCCATGTTGGCCAGGCTGGCCTCAAACTCCTGACCTCAGGTGATCCACCCGCCTCGGCCTCCTGAAGTGCTGGGATTACAGGTGTGAGCCACTGCACCTGGCCACATTTTAGACTTTAAAAAATGATATCCACCAGTCCTTTCACTACCCTGCAGAACTTTTTATCCTTTCCACCACCAGTGGTGCACAGGGCCAGATCATGCTGGATTTTTCCACCTGAGTCAATAAAGGCTCTTTGAGCTTCCACTGGTGTGGACCTTGTGGAGGATGCCAACACATGATTCACATCTGCCCAGAGCACGCAGACTCAGAAGGCCAGACCGTAGGAGCAAAAAGGACCGTGAAGGGCACCAGGCCCTACCGCTTCATTCGCAGACCTGGAAACTGGCTGGCGTGAGACGTGGAACCATCAGGCCCCTCTGCAGGACTGCTTGTGAGCCGGGGGTGGATGGGCAATCACTGTTGGTTTTCGATGAGGAATTGCAGGGGTAGGCCCCTGGAGCCAGATCCTTTTCCCTTCTGGCCCGGGAGGCACACAGGTGTGCAGCGTGTGCCATTTGGCTGAATGGAGCAAGTAGGAGCTGAAATCCAGTTCATGCTCCTTTTTTTTTGTTTGTTTTCCTTTGAGACAAAGTCTTGCTCTGTCTCCAGGCTGGAGTGCAGTGGCATGGTCTCTGCTCACTGCAACCTCCACCTTCCAGGTTCAAGCAATTCTCCTGCCTCATCCTCCTGAGTAGCTGGGATTACAGGTGCACACCACCACACCCAGCTAATTTTTTGTATTTTTAGTAGAGACAGGGTTTCCCCATGTTGGCCAGGATGGTCTAGATCTCTTGACCTCGTGATCTGCCTGCCTTGGCCCCCCAGAGTGCTGGGATTACAGGCAACAGCCACCATACCCGGCCCCATGCTCCTTTTACCAAGCCCTATTCCATGGCCCGGCATGAGACCTCTCCCTCCACAGGAAGAGGTGACTTTCTCTATTTTGCAGAAAGGCACCTTCTACTTGACAACTCTAGTGCCAGTCTGGCTGCAGCTACACAAAGGCATGACTTTCTCTAATCGGTCCACTCAGAGGAGCCCCCATTTTCTAAGTCATGCAAAGATATGCTATAGGCCAGTGGGGGTCCAGGTGACCTTTCCCTACCTCTTCAACTGCCTCCCACCTGTCCCTTGTAAAGATCCTCCATTCAACCCAGGCTTATCATACAGGAATGTGTAGATCACTTCCTTTTCCACAGTCTCAAAGCCTCGAGCACATTCTTGCCCGTGCGTGACATGTGTATTATGCCGTTTGTGTACTTCTCTACACACCAGTGAGCTTCCTAAGGACAGAAATTCTGCTTATTGATCTTTGTTTCTATACCCTCTGGGAACATATAACTGAAGGAAGGACTCAATTAGACGCTGCCGTATAAATTCTACCTCCAGCATCTCTCTGCCACGCCACTTCTCCCACTCCCACCTGCCCCTCTTGCTGACTCTCTAAGCCTTGCTCTTCTTTACTACTCCCCTTGGATTCTGCTTTTTGTGAGATTTTCCCCAAAAAATGGTTCACAAATGTTCCCCTCCTGGTGGCTTGTGCCACACAAAGTGTGATGGTGATTCTAACAGCCAAACTTACTGAGGCCCTGGTATGTGCCTCCCGTGCCAGGGGCTTCATGAGAAGAATCTCACTTAATTCTCCCAACACCTATGAAGCTATATGAGTTATCTATTGCTGTGTTACAAATCACCGCAAACACGACAACACACACTCATTAGCTCACAGTTCCTGTGAGTCAGGAGTCCAGGCGCGGCTCAGCCGCATCCTCAGCTCGGAGTTTCACAGGGCTGTAGTCAAGGCGTTGGCCAGGCGGCATGTTCTTCTGGAGGCCCTACTGGGGAAGAATCCACTTCCAAGCTCACTCAGGTGGGCAGAATTGATTCCCTTGTGTTTTGTAGGAGTGAGCTTCCTGACTTCTTGCTGGCTAGCCACAGCCTCTGCCCTTAGCCTAAGCCGCCTTATCCTATTAGACACTTCTGAGGGTCAGTCCATCTTCACTCCCTGATTCATGGATGCCAATCAGTTGCTGGGTGAGCCTTTTTATATAGTCGCTCTGGAGGGCTGTGTGTAGCTGCTGTCACACTGGTGCTCATGCGGCCGTGCATTCCCTACATCTGACAGAGTCCCAGCTCATCAGTGTTGATGATGATGATGATGTCAGAGGAGGGAGGCCTTCTAGCCAAGGAGGAGAGAGAAGCCCAGCCTGTGAGGAGAGTTCCCTGGCTGGGTGATCCAATGTAGGGTAGGAGGGGAGAAAAGGGTGAGAGGGTGAGGGTGGGGAGAGGGGTGCAGAAAGCAGGGGAGCCCCTCAGCTCCTTTTCGGACTCCAGTGACCAAAGGAGTCTCAGTCCTGCCCACCCTGGTGCAGATCAAGGCAGTAGGGCCAGCTGTGGACTGGCAGTGACCTTGGTGCCTTTGACTCATATACCCATTGTCCTTCCACCCCCTACCTTTCACCCTGAGACAACAGCCTGTCATCTGGTCAGATTTCCCCTTTCCCTTTTGCCACCTGAACTCCTGGTTGAGCCACTGAACCCTTTTGGAGCCCAGGCTCTGCGGACTGATTCCAGGCCCTTCCTCTTAACTCATTCAAATACCCCAGATGCTTTTGTCTCTGAGATTATCTTTCCATTTTCCTCCCTGTTGTGACTTTTTTCTGGTTCGTTTGCCCACTGTGGAAATTTATGTTCTTTGCCTAGCTAATCGTATCTTCTTCCATTACTTGGGCTCCCAAATTTGATCATGCAATGATCTTTTCCCCACGATTTCTGGTAGGCAGGAAATCCTAGTTTAAAATAACAACCCATCTCATTTCTTATTCAATCATTATTCACTCAGGACATGATTTCTTTTCCTGAGGCAGAAGCAATTGCTCAATTTTATTTTCTTTATCAGTCCAGTAAACAGAAAGGCAGCGCAATAACCCCAGCAAACTCCAGTGAGCAGGAAAACATCAGGTCTTGTTTAACCTTTCCTCATCTGTGGCAGAGGGTGATAGGGTGAGCATTACTCACTGAATTATTGGTGAAATTATCTTATTCCTCCTTTTCTCCAAAGTTTAGGTCATGACAATTTTCTCCATGATGTAAACAAATAAATAGTTTTCCAAATTTGAAATGTAGGAGTCACTTTTGATCTTTCTCTCCTCCTAATCCCCACATCTAGCAGCCCCGAGTCCTATCCATTCTGTATTAGAACACCTCTCCAGGGCCCTTCCCTGCAACCCCACTTCCCCCACCCTCCCCACTCTGGGCCGCCGCAACTGTCGCTCTGTTCTCACTCCCTCCACTCTTGCCTCTTCCAATCCTTACCTCACAGAGCATCCAGACTGCTTAAAAACCTAAGCCCCCGTCCTGGCTAACATGGTGAAACCCCATCTCTATTAAAAATACAAAAAAATTAGCCGGGCGTGGTGGTGAGCACCTGTGGTCCCAGCTACTCAGGAGGCTGAGGCAAGAGAATGGCGTGAACCCGGGAGGCGGAGCTTGCAGTGAGCAGAGATCGCGCCACTGCACTCCAGCCTGGGTGACAGAGCCAGACTCCTTCTCAAACAAACAAACAAACAAACCAAAAAACCCTAAGCCCCGATTCAAACCCACCAGCAACTTCCCATTGCCCTCAAAATGCAACTCAAGCGCCTCTCTGTGTCCTGAGGCCTACAAGGCCTTACAGAATCTGGCCCCTCCTATGTCTCCTGTTTCATTTCCTGTGTCTCTGCCTTCCACCCTCTAGACACACTGTCCTCTCCTTTCCATTTCTCCCAGAGCCAAGTTCCTCACTGCCTTAGGCCCTTGCAGATGCAGCTCCCTCTACCCGGCATGCCCTTCCCCGAGCTCTTCACAGGATGGAATCCTGCTCGTTTTTCAGCCTTCTGCTTAAATGTCACCTTCCCTAGTCCTAAGCGGGCCTCCCCTATTATGCTTGCTTCTGCTTGTTCTTTTTCTTCACAGCACTTGCGGTCTTAATCAGTGGCGGCCTCTCCTCTCCACTAGACTATAAGCTCCATGAGGGCAAGGGCCATACATGTGTTGTCTCTGGCTGTATGACCAGCTCCCAGCTCAGTACCTGCCACATGGCAGGCACCAAAGTCTATTAAATGGAGTTTTGTAAAGGATTAATAAATAATGAATGAATGAGGCTTCCTTGAATTCTTTCCACCCACATGTGCCCTTCCAACAAAGATTAGATGTCTTTCAAATATGATATGGACTCCCTCCCTCCTTCCTTGACTCCATTCCCTCCATCTGTGCTCATTTCTTGAGCAATTTCTATGTGTTCACATTATTTCCCCACCACAGTGACATCTTGTTTATCTGAAGGACATTGTCTCACACCCTCTTCTACTCAGAATGCAGCCGAGAAGCCAGAAAGAAGCAAAAAGTCCTCTGCAATGAGCTCCAAACTGGGAGATTCTGGCCTTTGGGCTTCCACTCAGAGCAATATTTTCTATTTTCCCACACTCCTAATAGGGATGAAGATCTGCTCCCCAAGCCTACAGATGATTAATTTGTTTTGTTGCTGGGAAAATGTGCTGCCAAACTCCATTAAATGATGACCACCTTTTTCAACGAAGGACCTCAAGGAAGGAAATTTAAATAAAACTTCTAATAGACATAGAATCCTTATTTTTGGTATATTCATTCATCACAGTCTAAACCCTGCAGATGCATGTGCGTGCACACACACATATACACACACACACACCCTGCTGCCTCTTGCTCCCTCACCCACAGCCACATTCAGACACAATGGAGCTCCTTCCAGGGAGGTATGTAGTACACGTTGCCAGGTGTCCTGCTGGAACGCTGATGGATGCCCAGAGGGGCCCTTTTCAGCGCATCTTCCTTACAGGATCCAGGAATGCAGGAGCCTTGGGATTTCTCTCAGGTCGTCTTGGACTGGTTGGCCCGAACTGCAGCCCTCCAGAAGCTTGGAAGTGTTCCCAGGAGATCACAGATGCATTCCTTCAGCACCAAGGGCTCTGTCCAGCATACCTGGCCCATCAGAACACATACCTGTACCCACTCCCCCCAAGAACTGTTCCACAACTTCCATACGGTCAAAGCCAAGAAATGGAGTATTTACAATCAATTGATTCGTTATTCATTCATCTGCATTTCATTCATCTGCATTTCACATCCCCTGTGTGCCTGGCAGGCAACATGCAGGATGGTCTCTGCCCTCGGGGGACTGCCTTACTCAAGTGCTGGCTGCACCAGCGATTTCCCGTTTCTAAGACAATGCTTACTTTCTTAAATAGCCTATCAGGTGGGTTCCCTTAGGGGTCTGGGTTACCTTAGGGGTCCTTAACCTTGGCTCTGACTTCTTGTTGTCTGTTTACAATTTGTTCACCTATCTCAGAAGAACTTCTGCCCTGATTTGTAGAGAGCTTGCTACATTGCTGGTTTCTGCTGGCTCAGCTGGAACTGCCTACCAGGTTCCTTCCTCTCTGTCTCTGCGTCCCGCATCTGATGCAGTATCGAAGTGCGGATTTAGTTTCAGATTTGTCCTAGAAGCTGCCGCAGCAGTTTTTTGTTTGTTTGTTTGTTTTGAGAAGGAGTCTCGCTCTCGCCCAGGCTGGAGTGCAGTGGCGTGATCTCGTCTCACTGCAAGCTCTGCCTCCCGGGTTCACGCCATTCTCCTGCCTCAGCCTCCCGAGTAGCTGGGACTACAGGCGCCCACCACCACGCCCGGCTAATTTTTTGTATTTTTAGTAGAGATGGGGTTTCACCGTGTTAGCCAGGATGGTCTCGATCTCCTGACCTCGTGATCCACCCGCCTTGGCCTCCCAAAGTGCTGGGCTTATAGGCGTGAGCCACCGCGCCCGGCCCCGCAGCAGTTTTTTAGGATTGGAGGCGGATCGCTGTTAGTCACTGATTCTCTAGGGATTGTCCTATGAAAGGAGACATATGTATTTCCCTGGAGGAGCTCCCCCAATCCACTGTAATCTCATTTCAAGTTATTTCCATAAAGAATTCCTGATAGGTGCCCAGGGAGCTGAACTGGTTACATCGATGTTCGGGCATTCAAGGCCCTAAGGGCCCAAGGCCTGACGGGAATGGGACAAAGCCCGCAGGTGGGAACAGAGCCACAGCAGCGAGACGGCTTATCCGTTTTTCTGTGTTAGGTTTCCAGGTGAACCAATATCTCACTCATTGAAGAACATTAAACTTCATGGACAAGGAATTATGAGACTTCTCTCATAAGCATGGACTTCCAGTAACTCACAAAGGCCTCTGACTCAATTTCCTCCAAAGGTTCTCTTAACTGCCACCACTTCTCTCCAGCCCTCTGCCACCTCTGCCCTTGCCTGGACACCGCACAATGTTGTAACCGCAACTCCTGACTCACCTCTCAGTCCCCTCTAATTTGGTCTCCACACAGCATCCAGAGCCATCTTTTAAGCCACAAATCCAACAAGGTTTCTGTCGCCCCTCAATGGCCTCCTTAGGCCTCAGAATAATATCCAAGCCCCTTTGCTCTGGTTCACAGAATCCTTCCAGCTTGGTCCCCGTTGACCTCTGCTACGTCCTTATTCCTCAGCACTCGTTCTCTCGCACGAATGCTCTGATCACACATACCCCGTGTTTGCTCTTGCTTCCAGGTCTTCAAACATGACACACGTCATCCTGGATTTCCCTGCCTTCCCTCCCCTAACTCCTAGTCAACCCTGAAGACGGTTTAGACACCATCAAAGGGTACCAGGGGAGGACACTGGCCCAGAGCACTCAGCGCCCTCCATCACCACCTCCTTTCCCAGCAGCTGGATTAGGAGGCCCTGTACCGCTGTTGAGACATTACCTTAATATGCGCTAATTACCTGTTTAGTTGTCTGTTTCCCTTACTGGGACGTAAGACCTTGAGACCTAGATTCTCTCCTGTTCATTATTGTATCTCCAGTGGCTAGCACAGTTCCCAGGATATAACAGGGAAAACTCAATAAATGGCCGTTGAATTCATTCATTCATGAATAGAATTGCTGCAATAGGATAAATCCCTGGTGTCAGAGACAATCTTGAAAAAGCGGGTTAGCACAATAAGAAAAGCCCCAGGCAGGAAGGTCATGAGATCTGAGTTCCTCATAAACTCGGACAAGTCAAATCTCCTCTCGCACAGAACTTCAGTTTTCCCACATATAAATTCCAAAATCTAAATCTCAGAGGTCCTTTTCAGCCTCTGTGGTTTTTGGTGGTGAATCACACATGTTTTCTCGAAGAATTATCCCTATTCTTTTGAGTTGCCTGTGAGGGACATCAGAAGACCATCATGTTCAGAGGAGCACTCTTAAATTCCGTAAATACCACCAAGGACATAATTAGAAAAAAGAGATGCTTTGGTCCCAACAGGACTTAGTCCTCAAAACCTAATTGTCAATACCTCCTACTGCCTTCTTCCTGGGATGGAGGAGTCCCTGTCTTTATTTTCTCCTAATTGGCATCTTGGGACTTCTCTATGATGGCTTCGCCGTATTTTCCCTACAGAGCTGGTAAGTTAGCTGAATTCCAAAGATTGGGGGTAAAAGTATCCATCAGAATCAGGACCTGAGAGAACTGGAAAATGTGTCAAATTATATGAATGACCATAAAGTGTCTAGAAATTTATTATAGCCCTCCAGAGTCTAAGGCCTGAGGCCCCAAAATCGTGAGCTGGAATGTAAGGCAGCAGGTAGAAGGGCTCAAAATTATTGCTAAGGAGTCCACAGATTCCTTATGAATCCAGCATTGTTTCTAGACTAAATGAATATGAAGTCTTGCAACTATACCTTGTTTCTCAAATGTACAACAGAGCTGCCATTGTAACTAACAACATAGAAATTCATTTAAAAATAGCACTGAATTCATACCAACCATGATGCACTTTCCTTGCTCTATGGATATAATTATGGATACAACAAAAGGTACTACAACAGATACTACCACAAATACTACCATGCATACTACAATGGGTAGTGCAAGGACTCTCAGTTACTAGAATGCCAGCTCTGGAAAAGATGAAACCACAGCTATCTTATTGGTGCTATACTCCTAGCACCTTGTTCAAGGCTGGCCATGTGCTGGAGGCTGATCAGATATTTGTCAGGCATCAGGGAAAACTTTTTACTTTAAAAAGACAGATGCAGCCGGGCATGGTGGCTCATGCCTGTAACCCTAGCACTTTGGGAGGCCGAGGCGGGCAGATCCCCTGAGGTCAGGAGTTCGAGACCAGCCTGGCCAACATGGCTAAACCCTGTCTCTACTAAAAATACAAAAAAAATAGCCAGACATGGTGACAGATGTCTATAATCCCAGTTACTCAGGAGGCTGAGGCAGGAGAATCAGTTGAATCCAGGAGGTGGAGGTTGCAGTGAGCCAAGATCACACCATTGCACTCCAGCCCGCTCAACAAAAGCAAAAACTCCATCTCAAAAAATAAACAAACAAACAAATACATAAATAGTAAAATAGAATAAAAAATAAAAACACAGCCATATTTGAAAATTTTAAGAACCACTAGGTGGTCAAAATAATTAACAAAATGACAGCTTCATGTTTTATTGCCTGTTGCAATTAAAAAACATTTGCTTTCACATATATGACTGCATTTGGCTCTCAAAAGATGATCCTGCAAGGAAAGTAGAGCTCAAAGTCCAACAGGCTGCCTGGGGCGGCACCGTAAGCACCAGTAGTGGAACCTCGGCTTACCATGTGATGACATTTGCTTGCAGGAGAACGTAGCTCTCCTCTCCCCTCTGCTAGCTGGGATGGCTCAGAGAAGTGACATCCGGGTAAGACAAGGCCCTAAAATAAGACTGGAGCTTCGTCAAGCCAGGTGACTTATTGCTAAGAATTGCAAAATTAATACAGAGATTCTTGCATTTAACAAAGTAAAGCAGTTGGTGAGGTTGCCTGAGCGGTGGCAGGCGAGGCTCTCCTTTTGTGTCTCCATCATCTCCCTTTTTTCTGTCATTAAATAGAAATAAAACGGTAGGGGCAATGTGAAGGTGAGTCTCTGTTAAGTAATTTAAAGTGCATATTTTTGTGTATCTTGATTGAGGCCCAAGCTTTAAGGATCACGAAAGATGGCTGAAATGCAAAACCCAATGCAAATTGCAATCAGAAGCCTACTGATTAAATAAAGTAAGGTACATTCATACAATGGAATCAGATGCAGTTAAAATGATATAGATTTATGTTTGTTGATATACCATTGACTAAAGTAAGTAAAGGATAGCATATACTGTACAGTGTTTTCCTATTTACCTACATGTTATCCCTCTTGCAAGTGCAAAGACAGATGCCTGGAGTGACAGTCACCCAACATTAACTAGCTCTGCACAGGAGGATTTCATATGACTTTTACTTTCATACTTTTACATTGTTATGAGTGTGCAAATGGTATGTTCTCTGAGCCCACCTGCACGGCTCATTCCAGAGAGTATAACGCATTCCCATAGGGCAGTGGTCTTTATTAACGAGTCCTCAACCATCATCCAAAGCTACTGGACACTTTCAGTCCTTTGATTACTAAGAAGACTGAGCCTTGACTGGCCATGTGACCAGCTACCACTGCAGGGCTGAAGTCACAGTGCTCACCGCTGCCAGCAAGGATCTCCCAAGAGTCACAGAGACACCCAGGCAGCATATGAGTCCATCGTCCACCTTGACTGGCCACATGGCAAGCCACCACCGCAGGGCTCAAGTCACAGTGCTCACCGCTGCTTGCAAGGATCTTCCAGGAGCCACAGAGACACCAAGGCAGGGTATGAGTCCATCGCCCACCCTGCCCACTCACTCTGGGCATCTTCCTTGTCCCCCAGGAGGCAGTGTTGAGGGAGGACAGATGGACATCCTTGTTCCCTCCCAACAAGCCAGGGACCAGTGTCTGTGCCCATAGCCTTCTCCCCAGAGGCCATTGGTCAACCATCTCAGCCACCGTGGGGACTGACCCTGGCCAGGTGCTCAAGGAATTTGGAGTCACTTTGTTTTTCTGAGCCTCAGTTTCTTCACTGGTAAAATTGGGATTAAACACTGCCTCCTGTGAGGATCAAATCAGATACAGTTTATTACAGTGCGTTGTAGACTTTAAAATGGTTTTGTGGTTGAAAAATCGGCAAGACAGCAGAGGCTTTGGAGTTCAACATGGATCTGAATGTGGTCCTGTCACAAATTGACTATGTGACTTGGGGAAGTTAAACATCCTCTCACGGCCTCAGTTTCTGGCCTTTAGTACGGGGTTCTCCTTTGTCCTACCACCAGCCCAAAACCCTTCAGGAGGAACTGTGATTTGTTAAGCTCCAGAGGACCAAGGCTCAAAGGAAACCTTCTGAGGAGTAATGATGCAGATGCTGTGGGGGTGGGGATGCCTCAAATGATGCAGATGCTGTGGGGGTGGGGGATGCCTCATGGCTAGAATCCAACTTTCCCCACTTTGGTTTTATTTTTACACCCCTGAAGTCCAAAACCAGCTGTCTGAATCACTGGCAAACGGAGCCAAAACTATTGTCATGCGTCATAGGAGGCCGCAGGCTCCAGCCACACCTCAGGATGGTGCACTAAAAATATCCTCCCAGCGCTATTTTTAAGGCCCTGCAGCCTGCTGACCCCAGGTCACGGGAGCGGAGCCCTCACCACACGCACGCAGAGGCACCAAGTTAGGACCTGATGCCTAGCGGGTCCTTGGGTCAGTGAGTGAGGTGCCGCGCGTAAACCCCGCACTCTCCTCCCTGCCCACAGGGATCGCCCGTTGTGCAAAGGCCTCTGCCGCAGGTGCAGGCTCATCCCTCTCTGGATGCCTGCCAGGCACCACAAAGCCCACTGCGATGGGACCACTGTGCCCAGCTGTGCACTCCGCTTCCACACTGGACATTCTCAGAATCAACAGCACACGGCATCTGCCTGGCTGGGACACTGGGTACTCACCCTTCACCTGTGAACGGTCATTTATCATTTCCAAAGCATGTTCACAGCCGTGACCTTCTCTGACCCCCACTGCACTTCTGCCAAATTGATATTATTATCCCCAAGTTATAGATTAGGAAATGAAAGTGATATATGTGCATTTCTAACAGCACTGTTATACAATACAATGTAGATGAACGTCTCTGGTGTGACTGAAGGTAGGATGACCTCGGATTAGCCAACATTGGCTCAGAATTTCTTCCTGGTGTCCTGCACATCTGGCCACACCCACCTTCCCTTGTAGTCAAACCAGTCACCATTCATTCATTCATTTGACAAGCATTTCCCCAGCATGCCCTCTGGGCCAGGCCTTCTCAGAGATAAATCACATCTTCCCTGTCCTGGGGAGGTCATGGTGCCAGGACAGAACTCTGGGGCATGGTGGGCACAGGGTAGCGGGAGAAGGTAAAAAGGCTCCAGGAAGGAAGTCATCCCTTTGGGGATCTGAGGGCTGAGCAGGAAACAGAAATGCTGTCCAGACAGGAGCAGCTTAGGCAGGAGAGCAGGGAGCAAGTAGGAGCTGAAAGCGGGTCAGAGTGGGAGTGGGTAGGAGGCAGGGACCCGGGGCTGGACCAGAGCAGGGCAGAGCGGGAGGTACGGGGCTGCCTGAAGGGCATGGGGAGCCACTGGGGGGTTCCAGCAGTGGAGAATGTGATCATTGGTCGGTGTTGGAGCTGTCCCTGTGGTAGCTGTGGGGAGAATGGAGAGAAACAAGGCTGCAGAGAAGAAGGCCAGATGCAGGTCTTACAATAGCTCAGGTGAGACAGGATGGGGCTGAGGCAGGTGGAGTGAGAGAGGATGAAAAAGAAGGAGCCAGTTCTAGAAGTCTTTAGAAGTAACTAAAAGGTAGGATGAAAACAAGCGACAGGGCTTAGACCAGTTGGATACGTAGGGCAGGAGAAAAGAAGAGTCCAGGGTACCAGGGTTGGGCCTGAGTGACTGTGAACAGATGAACGCCATCCACAGAGTGAGGGCACACGGGGCAGAAGCAGGTGCAGGCAAGGGCAAGCTTGCTTTGCGTCTGTCATAGTGGGGGCAGGGCACGTGGCTATCTAAGCAGCACTGATAAGCAGGAAGTCAGGTATACAGTTGTGGGGCTCAGGAAGAAATCAGGCTTGCATCAAACCTTTTGGAAGGTGGTAAGGAGTTGAAGAAGCCTCTAGAACAATGGGTCTCAACCTTCTCTCATCAAAATCAACTGGACAGCTTAAAAAAAAAATACTGATATCTGGGTCCCATTCCCAGACATTCTGATGTGATTACTGTATTTCTGTATAATGGGCCCTGGCATTGGTATATTTTTAGTGATCCCAGGTGCTCCTTCTGATGTGTAGCCAGGGATGGAAACACTGCCACGGAGACACAATGATGGAGCAGAGATGAGGCAGGCCTGTGGTGCACACCAACATGGAAGGGCCAGGGAGGGAAGAGAGCCCCAAATCAGTCTGGCCTTCAGGGCGGAGGGCACCAAGAGAGAGCATTATCCTGGAGCAGCAGGAGTGGGACGTCAGGAAAGCGGTCCTGAGAGCAGCATTGGATGCTGCAGGAAGAACCAGGCCGTGGGAAGACTGAGGAGTGCCTCTGGCGTTTAGCATCTAGGAGTCTGTCAAGGTGACCCGGGCCAGGACAGGTTCCAGGTTGGGGGAAGGCAGCTGATGAGGGTTGCAGACTAGACCAGACTTCAAGGAGAGTGGAAGGGGAGTAAGTGAAGACGCCAAACGAGAAGCACTCTTTTAGGAAACTTGGCCATGAATAGAAGCGGAGAAAAGAAGAGGAAAAGGAGGTATGATTGGACAGATTTGAGGACGCTTCTCTTCCAAGCATGAAGAAGCAAGAGGGGTAAGTGGACAAGGCCTTGAATGACGGGCAAAGTGAAGTTCGTAGAGGGTGGTCCTGAGGAAGCTGAGGGACCTGGGTTTCAGGGCTCAGTGCAGAGATCACCCCAGGAGGTGGGCTGCTTTCCCCCCAGGGGGCTAGGACCTGAGATCGTGTCACCTGCCCTCCGTACAGCCCTGCACCTGCATCTGTGCCGTGGAGTGTGTTGATGGGTGGGCAGGCGCTGCTCTTTCCCCTGACCTGCAGCCCCACAGCTAGCCCTCTTTCTCATGCCAGCCTTCCGTGTCCTGGCCCTGCTGCTGGAGCTGCACATGCCAGGCTCTGCCTAAATGCAGATGACTCCACCAACTTTTGCTCCACTCCTCACCCCCAGAACTGTTGTTGTTGTTGTTTACCAACTATGAAGGACCCACCACAGGTAGAGAACCGAGTACTTTGCACACTTGGAGCCCCTGCTTTCAAGACCTCCACAGCCTACTTATCTAATAGTCATTGCATGAATTCCTACATATGTACATGTATAAACATGAAAGCAATGGCGAAAATGCATTTCCAATCATACATATGCCTAATTGTGCACGCTCACCGCAGGATAGACACAAACGCCTCCAATGGGCACACGTATGTCACCAAGACCTCCCCGCAGGACCCTGCTTGGCTACTCTGAGAGCGGCTCTCATGGCCTGGAAAGAAGCCCACATTGACACAGGCCCAAGACCACCCGCCTTTCCCAACACATTCACTCGAGTTTAGGAAAGGCCATGACTCACCTCCAGTTACTGAACCCCGAGCCTTTCCGACATGTGGTCAAAGGGAAAGAAATTGGCCTCTGCATTTTGGAATTTATGCATCATGGAGCTCAGTTTTTGTTTTCCCAGTAAATGGCTTCTCGAAGATAACAGGAGGAGGTGTCTTTCCAATGCTCACCCTCTTTCCCAGTTTTGCTCCAGAAACATCTGGCGCCATCAGTGACTCAGTTTCAACTTGCAGTTTTAATTTCTTCATTTACAAGAGCTATAAAAGAATAGCCAGCAAAGCAGTCACTCCAGTATTTTTAAACTTACACCACTGATGCTTTTGTCTACTAACGAGTGTTATTGAGTATTTGCAAAAAAAAAAAAAATCCAAACTCAGTACCTATTTCAATACATTCTTAACTCAGTACAATTCAATACATTCTTAACTCAGTACGTTCCAATACATTCTTAACTCAATACATTTCAATACCTTCTTAAGGAAAAATTTCTGACATGTGAATTGCTCTCTTTAAGTAAAAAATGTTCTTAATTCTGAATTCTAGGTAAAAATAAGTATGAGGATGACAGTAATAGGCTATTCTGAGATAAAACTTTTTTTTCCCACCCCACGTTAGGCCTTGGTTGAGAAAGTGATACTGTCCCTCCTGTCTTCGAGGGACAGTGAGAAGGAGCCATGTTCATGCTATCAATAGCAAAGCACCCACTCACACGCAGAGACACTGTACAATGGTGTATTAAAATGGTAAACTTGAGCCATCTTAGCTCGAGACCAGATTTCTTAGAGAGTGTGGGCCCCTGGACCCTGTATGCATCAGCCCTACAAAGGCCATTTGAGTCCCCCACCCCACCCCACCCTCTGCTTCCCTCAACCACAGATACCATCCCTGACCCTGGCAAGCCCCCTGCAGTATAGACTGTTCCAGGCCTCCAGGCTGCCATTTTTTCTTCTTCCGTGACTCTTCTGACCCTGATTGTTTGGACAATGTGGGGAGGATTCTCTCCCTTAGGATAAAGAATGGGAGCCCAGTGGGGTTACCACTTCCTATCTTAGAAGGGCATCTGGAAACAGATATTTCTAGAACTGTGGAATCTTCTTGGGGGGCAGGTTGACCTCTTGGGAACCCAGAGGGAGAGAAGATAGCAGGTTTCAACTCATCACTAGCAAGAATAGTACTTACAGGTGCCTTGGAAGGTGGTGAGTTCCCCATGCTGGGGAGACTCAAGCAGAAGCTGTAGGGTTGTTTGTCAGGGATGTCCCGCAGGGGCTGCTCTTCATCAGGACTTTGTGGCCATTCCTGCACCGTGTGAGGTGAAGCCCGGTCCAGCCTCCCCTCCTCTCCATGGTTCTCCTTTGCATTGCACAGACAGGACTCACTCAAGACTCTCCAAAACTCTCAACACTGAGCAAACTTAGCTGTCCTCCTCCTCCCTGTCTAGCCTGTGACCACAGCTCAAAAAGTGACTGGAGCCCTCTCCGGTGCTGAGTTACAAACTGATGTCCTGGCTTTGAGCATATGAAAGGGGTATGAATAGCTTTATTTTACTAACAAGGAAGCAGAGTTTACAGAGGTGATGTAGCTAGCTGGTCCGTGGAAGTTTGGCCCAGGCTCCTGACCATTGGCCACAGTGATTTTTTAAATGCATTCTTAGGTAAGGCAAAGAGCAATGTACATAATCATTCCACCTAATGTAACCTGTTTGTAAACCAAGTTTTTCTTTTTTTTTTCTTTTCTTTTTTTCTTTTTTTGAGACATTGTCTCATTGTCACCCATGCTAGAGCACAGTGGTGCAATCAGAGGTCACTGCATGAGTCTTCACCCACCAGGCTCAAGCAATTCTCCCACCTCAGCCTTCTGAGTAGCTGGGACTACAGCGCGTGCCACCATGCCCATATCCCACTAATTTTTATGGTTTTTGTAGAGGTGGGGTTTTGTTGTTGCCCAGGCTGGCCTCGAACTCATGGGCTTCAGCAATCTGCCTGCCTCAGCCTCCCAAAGTGCTGGGATTACAGGCATGAGCCACCGCACCCGGCCTTTACGGGCGTGAGCCACCACACAGCCTAAACCACATTTTTGAGCACATTTCCCTAAAATGCTATTTAATGACATGGTTTCATCCCCATTTCCCATCCACAGGATTTTTGGTTTCTCGCATTCTTTACTTCCATTATAGGACATGTCGACGAGGGATTACCAGACTTCTGGGAGCTGTACTACCTGATAGTTGCCTGTTGGATTTTGTAATCCATCCTCCCACCCCTTCCTGGGGGCATTCTGTGGAGGACAGTGAGGCCCACATGTACACCTGCATGCTGAGCAGATTAAAACTCGTCCTGTTTCCACACATCGCATGAGATCTGGGGGGAACAAGAAACATTCTGGGTGGTTTTGGATCTTACATCTCGGGTCAGGGATCTAGAAGTAATCCAGGTTGGACAGGCAGGAGCTGTCAGATCCAGATTGGACAGGTGGGAGCTGTCAGGAGAGGCTGTGTCTCATTAGCTCTCAGGCATCAGCGCTCTCAGAACCAGTCCAGAACAGAACAGCAAAACCCAAAAGATCTGGCATGGGAGAGGCAGAACCACCTGCAGGGAAATCTTATTTGTTTTATTTTTATTTTGTTATTTTTTTTTTGAGACAGAGTCTCGCTCTGTCACCCAGGCTGGAGTGCAGTGGTACGATCTCGGCTCACTGCAGCCTCCACTTCCCGGGTTCAAGCGATTCTCCTGCCTCAGCCTCCTGAGTAGCTGGGATTACAGACGCCTGCCACCACGCCAGGCTAATTTTTGTATTTTTAGAAGAGACAGGGTTTCACCATGTTGACCAGGCTGGTCTCGAACTCCTGACCTCAGATGATCCACCCACCTCGGCCTCCCAAAGTGCTGGGATTACAGGCGTGAGCCACGGCGCCTGGCCGGGAAATCCTCTTAACTCAAGGGACATGGAATGCCCCAAAAATACCCCTTGGTGATGATGAGCTTACTGTTTAAAAAAACCAGACAACTAGGCAAGGAAATGAACCTCAGTCTTAGAGCGTCGGCAGCCACAACACAGAAAGGATAACCTGGAAGAGGCTTTACATAAGTAAGCTTAGGAGAGTGAACTTTACATAAGTAAGATTAGGAGAGTGAACGGGGGTGAGAAAAGGGGCCTGGCGAGTGCAGCCAATGTGGTCGGAAAGTTTTACTGTGAAGAGGACAGAGCCAGCAGAAGCTGGTCAGAGATGGGAGAGGATGGGGAACTGTGTGTTACAGGAATGACCAAGACCGGAGACAGGGAGAGAGTGGAGCTGAAACCTAGAGTGGGTGAGGAGAGGGGAGAGGGCTTCGAGTGGGAGGTGAGGGGGTCTCTGTGGGCAGGGGGAAGGCTGCTTGTCCATCAGAGCCCGAGGGAAGAAGCTGGTGCAGATGGAGGGACGGTTCCAGCACTGGGAGAAGGACGACGAGGCTGGTTCTCCCTGATGGCTGCTATTAAAGACATGAGACAAGGTTCCCTGGTGAAAGTGACAGGGTTTAAGGAGAAAGGGTAAAGTATGCAATTATTCCCTTGCAGAGGGGGACAGCAAGCTTTCCAGAAGAACTCTGAAGGGTCTTTGGGCAGCACGGAGGTGTGTGATTTTGAGTGCAACAGAGGAGGCTTGGCAAGAGAATTGAGGGCATTTTCAGGCAGAGAGTGATGACATCAGCTTATTGCATGTGAATGCCCAGAGAACAAGCCACACACTTCGTCAGAGGACCCCCAGATGCCAGTCTCTCAAGGTCGGTTCTTGTCATCTGTTCAGTTTCTCTAGAGAGGCAGAGCCCAGTCTCCCGGGGGGCACGTGCTTGGCTGCAGGTGCTCCTTGGCAGGGTAGGGAGAGGGGCAGAGTCTTACTATCCATTATGTAGATTTCACTGAATCCTCTTGTTTGCAGCCTGTGCGGCACCCCACTACCCTCCATTGATCCTAGTGGCCCTCAAGTCAAAGTCCCTTCTGTTAAACTTATTTAGAAAGTGAATCTCCATTCTCCTGCTGGCTCTGGTGGGAAAGGGCTGGGGAGAGAAGGAGTGTGAGTCTCTGTGTGAGGCGGGGTAAGGAGCACGCACGATCGACCCACAGTCAGACTTGGAAACAGTGCCCCTCTTCTCCTGTCTGAGGTACATCCTGACCTCTGCAGGTTGGGCAAGAGGCTAGTTCAGGCCACAGAGGTGGCTCCCAGCCATTTGATCCAGAAATTCTGTCATCCCATGTGTCTGTGTCATGGTCTGGAAGAGGCTGCAGGGGCTGCTGCTGGCATGGCCCCTGACCCTGTGGATTTCCCCACCTGGAGCTGGAGTAAGGCCTACACTGGGGCCATCTGAAGTGCAGGGTTGAGGCAGAGACTTGGACTGCCCAGCTGTATGGGAGATTCTGCACCTAACGTTCAGTTGACTGGAAGACTAGGAACAACTCACTTTCCGTGTTTATTCTGCGCTTATAAAATGGGAACTGCTCATTCAGACAGGGAACAGGGATGCAGCTTTGTTCCCTAATCCAGATCACAAAACAGATTAAGACAGTCCTGGAGAGTTCCACCTTCACCAGTATCTGCTAGACTCATAACCCATTAGGAGTAGTGTGCTAAGAGGTTCTTTGCCTTTCCTGGCTGAGTTTTATGTCCCAGTAGGCGGAAGAGGCAAGTGCCTTTAGCTCACTGCTGGTTATAAAAGTCAAGCCGATAATGTAAAGAATTCTTATGCTGGATTCTTTGCTCAGCTTCTGACCCCAGTCCCAGGTTCCCACTGGCAATTATATCTAAGTTGCCTTCTCCTACACGTAAAATAACACCTGTCTAGGTTAATACCTATCCCTACAAACTATAACCAAATATACTCGTACACCCAAACTTAGACAAACTTTTACACATACTAAATCTTCACAATCTGTGTATAAACTATAAACTAAAGTACTAACTTAACACAGTCTAATAAAACCCTCTAAAAGTCTACCCCCCGGCGATAATCCTCAATAAAACGTTGAAATAAAACTAACTTTAATTCTTTAAAAGCTTACTTCTTTCTTTAGTCAACAAAACTTAATGGAGCCAAGTGATGGTGTATCCGGACAGATGGAGCAGCAGGAAGAGGCAGAGACACCCACTCAGACCTTTACCCCAGGGGGAAGCAGCGGGCCAGGAGTCAGAATGCTCAGGGTTTGTAGTCAGTTTCCCTCTTACCAGCTAGTGACCGCAGGCAGATCAAAATCCATAAAGCGGGGCAGCTTTGGAGTAGTCTAAACCTGGGTTTGAATCCTGGTTCTGCCACTCACTCTATGTGTGACCCTGGACCTTGGAGAGTTAAGCTGTCTAACCCTCGCTTTAGCTATTATTAAAATGAGGAATGATAGCACCCTTCAGTTACTGGGTGGCTGTGAGGATTAGAGGGGCTCATGCTTGTAAGGGACTTAGCACCCTGTATGGCACTTAGGAAATACTCCAGTAAGGGTTCTGTTGACGATGAACGTGATCCTAACGAATAGAACAGACACTGCGAGCTCAAAAGAACATCATCTTGCCTCGACGGTTTGCTTACCTATAAAATGGCAATACTGCTTTAATCCCTACCCAGTTTTCCTCACATTGTTGTTTTGGGGATCAAATGAACTGAAGCAATGGGTCTCAAGTACAGATCTTCGGAGAGTTGTCAGCATATGACACAGTTCTCACCAAACTGAATAATGGGGAAATGAAAAAAATCACAATGTAGTTTTTTTTTGGAGATGGAGTCTCAGTCTGTCACTCAAGCTGGAGTGCAATGGCGCAATCTAGGCTCACTGCAACCTCCGTCTCCCGGGTTCAAGTAATTCTCCTGCCTCAGTCTCCTGAGCAGCTGGGATCACAGGCACCTGCCACCAGACCCAGCTAATTTCTTTGTATTTTTAGTAGATAGGGGGTTTCACCATGTTGGCCAGACTGGTCTTGAACTCATGACCTCAGGTAATCCACCTGCCTTGGCCTCCCAAAGTGCTGGGATTACAGACGTGAGCCACTGCGCCTGGCCTGTAGTACGTGTTTTACAAATTGAATTGTTCCCAACTTTAAAAGGCTGCATTATCCTGATATTATGTCATTTCTAATCTGAGTGTGTGCGTGTGCGTGTGTGTGATTGTGTGTGAAGTTATCCCTTTTTAATGAAAGTATGGTACTAATGAATGATAGTTTGTTTCAATGGACTTGCTCAGAAAAATAAAAGTTGTCAACCCTGTACTGATCCCTTGTTTTCTGGAAATCTTACTAGTCTGTGAAAAAAAAAAAAAAAAACCTCTATAAGGAAACCTGCAAGATAATAAGTTTGAGCTTTCCCGTCATAAGATTCTGTATGGAGATAACAAAAAGAACAGCACCTCATATTGAGTGAGTCCCTACCACATGCCAAGGGTGGCTGGAGATGGCTACACACTTCCCGTAATCCTCACAACAGCCTGGCAGGCTTGGTGTGGCTTAGCCCGTTTGACAGACGGAGAAACTGAGACGTAGAGAGGATAAGCAGCTGAACTCTTCCTCCGGTGGGAGTTCAATACCGAGTCCTCCTGACTCCTCGCCTCACAGTTTTTCCTGGATTGTGCTAAAGGATTACTGTGGAGGAGGCCCTGACAGGGCCATGGAGACTTCACCACTATAAAAAGTAACCACACCACAGGCTTACAGGCAAATCACTTAACCTCTCTCGGCTTCTAGCATCCAACTGGGAAATTAGGCAGAAATCGGGGTCATGCTGAAAACAGATGGAAAGGCAAGCTGGGCTAGGAAATAAAATTAGCACAAAGAAGCCATTCTTTATGATTCTCGATGATTCAGTGCCCTTTGACTATTTATGAAATTGGGAAGCATCCCAGCCCGGGTAATTGACAGAATGCTGCCTGGATACAGGGACATCATCAGATGGCCTCTTTCTCTCTTTGGCCATCCAGATTCAATCCCTCTGCCTTCTCACAGTTGACCAGGCCCTCCCTTCCTGCTACCCTAGGTGGTTTTCTGGGTCCCAGAGGCCTCCCAGAGCTGGGTTGGTAGAAGACCCCTTCTGCCTGTTCACTCTCCCTCCCACCCTTCACACTGCAGGTGGGCATGGCGCTATGAGTTGTTCATTTTGTTCTTATATGCCCTCTCAGCAACTCTGGGAGGAGGTTTTATTAACACTATTTTACACATGGGGAAACTGAGGCTCATTGAAGCTGAGAAATTGGCTTGGGGTGACACAACCTACAAAGGGCAAAAGAAGAATCCCCACCCAGCCAGGGCTGCCTGACATGAGTCTGTGCCCCCCATTTGATCACTAAAGCCCCATGAAGACTGAGGGAAGAAGATTCTAAAACTCTAACAGCTCCCAGTCTCCCTTTACATAAACTGTGCCTTCTCTGGATGTCAAGGTAGTCACTATGTACCCACCATGTATTGGGCCATTCACTCAGAGCCAGGGTCAGCCCAACAACTCCTTTCCTGACTTACACCCTAGGAATGGACTTACAGCAACATTTATCTGAGATGTGGTAATTCTGGTGACAGTAACATTTCAATTCTAAACCTACCCTTTCTTTTTTAATTTAAAGTAAGTGCTTCATAGTTCTCTCTTCAGCCCTTTTTAATTTATTTGTTCTTATTGAAGACAGCTAGTAACAAACTCCCATGATCATTCAATTTTTGTTGAATTTTTGTTGAAAGAGGTTACAACATCTTTAAGCAAAGGAGGGGAATAGCCTTTAATAGGGAGGAGTGAGCCCCTTCTCCAGGCCCAGAGGGCTCATGATCCTCAAGTGTATTGGCCCAGATGTCCCTATCCCATTTCAAGGTCTTATTTCTTCCCAGCCGTGACAATGGTGGCATTGCAGACTTGCTGTGGTCGAGAACTGAACCTTCTCTGGAGCTCAGCCACCCTCATGATTCAGTCTTGTGCCTGATCCTGAGCTTTTTCTGCCCTCCAGGTGCAGGAGATGAAAATTCTTTCTATGCTGTCAAGGGGACCCTCAAACTTTCACACTTTATCTTAAATGTGATTAGTCACTCTCAGCCTTTTATTATCTTGCTCCAATGAGTATGTGGCCATTCAGGACAGTCATCTGATTGCATAGTCCTTATAATCACAACTTAACCCGACTCCTTAAACACCTGAGATATTGCACCTGCCTCTGAATCCAGGGAGCCCCCCTTCATCTGTGAGGATCCTGCTGCAATTCTCATGCACACCCCATAGGCAGTCAATGCTGTTGAGAAACCATTTCTGTGAGCCATTTTCACCCTCATCCCCAAGTGTGGGCCCAGCTTTCTGGCTGAGTCTTGCAGCCTTTTTGTGCCTCGAAGCTGGGCTCTGAGGACTGATGTTCGCTTTTCCACACTGATGAATCATGGAGGACACTCAGAGAGCCTGTGGCCCACCCTCTGCCCTTACTGAGCTGCCTCTGTGGACCTTCCTTTCCTTTCCAGATGATGGAAAGAGGTTGGCAGACTGTCTAGAGATTTTTCTCAGGGGTCTTACTGTGGCCTACATTTTTTTCCAAGGACAAGCAGAGACTCCATTTCTTTGTCACTTCTTGGGCACTATGTATTTTTAATGGCCCCTTGGAAAACCAGAGGGATACTGGCCCCAGCAGAATGGAGGGGCAGCCAGCCCCTTTCTGCCCTACTTGCCAATGTCCTGAGACTGACTTAAAGGTTTAGTTGATCTATTTGGTTCTTACATTTCAAACCTTTGGATAAGTAAAAAGGGTCATCATTAGTTTCATTTTTAAATAAAAATGGAAAGTTAGCACTCACATCTTGATGACATCTTGGTAATTCTCTTAATACTCGAGGACAGAGAGAAGGTGCTGAGTGCTTTCATGCATCATCCTATCTGCAACTCTATGGAAGATGCTGGGCATATCCCACAGTTCTCAATTTTCAGATAAAGTGAGATACAGGGAGGGATTATGGCACTTTGGGGGCAGAGGCTGTTCACACATCTTGGCATCTTCCATGGCATCTAATGGGATCCCTTGCACAGAATGAGGGCCCTCAATGTTTGTTGAAAGGGTGAAATTGCCAAGATCACAGAGCTCGCTAGGTCTCTGAGATCCTAATCAAATGTTCTCTCCACTAATCTGAGCTCCCTTTGTCCGAGTGAGCCAAAGGCTTTGAAAATAATAAATAAACATTGTTTAGCAAGTTCAAAACTGCAAAGAAAAACAAGCCAGAAGCATGAAAAAGAGCAAATTTTAAACCAAAATGAGCAGGTTCCAGGCATCCATGATGCTGCTCATTCTCTGATTACCTTCCCCACTGCATCTTAAACAGAACAGAAGGGCTATGGCAGATCCAGTGAAGGAATGGTCCATTTTTACAGAAAAGCCCTCTTGCCACGTGGTGCTCCAGCCCCAGGTGAACTGCATAATCATGGGTGGCAGCAGGACAGTCCATGTCCCCAGCCCTTCCTGTCACCCTGCATCTTTCCTCATGATCTCCTCCCTGGCCTCAAATGTGTTCGGGGAGAGGCATCCTCATGTCAATGCAGGCCCATCCGCCATGTGAAGTGAATTGAGTCCATGCATCACGCTTCATGCGTGGGAGCTAATGCAATAAAGGCCCAACCCAGAGCCACCGTGGCATATTACGCACATCAATCACCCACTCCCACGGACTGAACAGCCTCCTTCCAAGCCCCTGGGTGAACGCTGGAGGTGCTTCGGGGACTGATAAATGTTTGCTGAGTTTTAACAACTCTGTGTCTCTCCTGCTACAAGATTTGGGCTATTTAAATAGGCTGGTGTCTGTTGCCTTTTCAGCCCTTCGAAGTAATGAAACTGCTTGGAGTCTACCACTAAAGTAAAATGGTGGAGGCTTTCAGCTCTTGAGTGTGGGCCTTCCTTTTCTCCTCTCCTCTGTTCTCCTGCAGGGCTGAGCTCAGGCCACCCTTCCACCTACCACTGTCCAGCATTTCCTAATGGGTGGGGCCCTGAGGAGTGGGCGACAGGCTACAGAGGAGGAGTAACTCATCACTCCCTCACTGAGCAAATGGCAACGACCCCCAATGAATCGCATGCTTGCCCCAAGGCTCAGTGTCCCTACCGCAAAATCACCTGTAATCATCCCACAGCAGCATCCAGCGCATTACATTAACAAAGCCCTGTGGCCTTTGCCATATATTCATATACTCAATATCTACGCCAGTCTTTTGAGAGTGTATGCTTACGTTCATGCGCTTTAATCTCTTTTTTACGGTGTGCTTACCGTGTTCTAGGTACTGTTTTAGGCACTGCCATTCAACGTATCATTTTACCGTCATATCACCCCCAAGAAGGGGATTTTATTAGCCTCATTTTACAAATAAGGAAACTAAACCTCCCAGATGCCGAGTAACTTGGTCAAGGTAAACGGCTTTGAGTCCACAGCCTGTGCGACCTTTCTGCTACATCTTAGAGCGATTGCACAGGCTCGGAGGAAAGCCAGAGCTGAAACCGTAGGGGTCATTATCTGTTATCCTGATTTGCCTTTTAAGGATGCAAATTGTGCGGAAGATTTTTTCATGATATCAAAAGATCAGACGGGCCCTTCAGACAGCAGAAGCCCTCGCCCTCCATAGACTCTCCAGCAAACGCTCTCAGGTGCATTTCCTGCCCGTGGGGCCCGTCCTGGGCTCAGTGACACACCCCAGCAGCACAGGCTCCTGCACAGAAGCCAGCCTGGCTTCTGGAAAGGAGAAGGTCTGGAGGCAGGGACACAAGCTTTGAAGGCTGGCAGGTCTGATTTTGAATCCTGGCTTCAGTCCTGAGCTGAAGTCACTTATCCTTTTGGGGTCTCAGTTCCCCCATCTTAAAGTAAAGGAAATAATAATTATTTGGCAAGACCCTTGTATGGCTTAGAGATAGTGGCAAAGGCTGTGTGCTGGTTAACTGGAGCTGATGGGGGTGGCAGCAACTATTAATAATCCTCCTCCTGAGGGCCCCAGTTCACTTCCCCCTACATTGTTCTAACTAAAGAAAAAATCAGATGGAGATTATTTGAAGAACTAAAAAATTATAAAGGCAACAGATTGCTCTTTGCAGTAAAATAATTCTAATTGCTCCCCTAGGTTTGGAGGCCAAGCCCCACTATTACAAATAGCATGATCATTAACATTTCGTATAACAAAAATACTTCAAATGTAAATGATGACCCTTCCCTCAGTTTAAGCCAAACAGGAAACCCACATGTGTGGGGTACACTATGGGTTGAAGAGGCAGGTCCCTTCCCTTGTCCCGGTGTCAGTACATGTGGTTTAGATACCCCAGAGACCGGGTGGCAGCAGCAGGTGGAACCCATCTCAAATTTTCAAAATCAAGAAATTCAAATCACACAATCTGATTTGTCTCCTGTGCTCAGTGCAACTAAATCTGGAAACCCCCTCCCCGCCACCCACAATTGTATTATAACAAAACTGAACATATCCCCTCTCTTTCCCCACTCAGAACAAATAATTCAGGAGTCTCACAAAACCTTTATCCTATTTCTTATTGCTTTAGCTTGTTTGTCCTTTTGACCTCTCAGTTCCATGTGTGTTCAACTAAAATCTAAATTGACCCACTTTGCACCCGGCACTGGGCAGACCAGAGAGGCAGCTGACCTCCTTTAGCGCCCATCACCTTCTGACTCTGTGCTACGTACCTGGCACAGCTTCTCCCTCATGACCTCATTCCCTGCCCTCAAGGGACTTAACAAGCAAATGGGAGAGACACAACTGTGTACAGCCACAACACGGTGCACAGTTTCCATGTCACAAGAAGGGAATGTGCAGGCAGAGGGGTGCTCAATTCCAACTGGAGAAACAAGGAGGTTCCAAAGAGGAGGCAGTATATGATGTGCCTTTTATTGATGGAAATTTCAGAGAAAGTTTTTTCATGATTATCAGAAGATCATTAACAGTCTTTCAACTAGGAGAAGCCCCAGCCCTCCCATAAACTCCATAAAAGAAAAAGGAGCAGAATTTCAAGATGGGAAGTTGGGAAGAGGAATCTGGTCATTGTAAACAGACTATGTTGCAAAACTTCAAAGACTCCTTAGAGATCAAGTAAACCCATGTAGCTGGGTCTTATTTACTGAAAGGGAGAAGCATCAGAGTGGAGCGAATAGTTCCCTACATTTGCAGTCCCCGCAATGACCAAGGATCAGGTAAATGACTAGTAATGGACTTCTATCTTCTTGAGTGGATAATCTTCCTATTACTGACAAATCGAGACGTGCTGCTATAAGAAGCTTCGAGCGCTCAGGCCTGGGAGCGGAAACCTGGTGCAAACATCCTAGACTGTTTGGAGCTGTCCAGGTTGTGTTGGTGTAGCCCTAACTGTGCAGCCAGACCAAGCCTAGGAGAGGAGCACAGAGCTGGCTCTCTTGCCTATAATCTGATGCATGAGAGAGCGCCTGGAAAATTATGTGTCCATTAGCTAAATGACCCTGGGGCTTTATGACTTGCTCTTTTTGTAAATCAAAAATAATAACAATAACAGCTCACCATCTTCTCATGCTGTTGGAGAGAGTGAGTATTTCATCTACCATTAAACAGTGACAGCTGCTCCCCAAGACAACTCCATTCTAAACCCCAGGATACAGAAGCTGACGGAAAGCCTGTGCTCCCATCCTGACCCACCTAGCCAGGACCCCATCATAATGAGCAATTTAGCCCCTTTCTTATCAAAGGGGTTGGCAACCAAGCCAGTTCCGAAGCGAAGGTGATTGTTTTAGTGCAGGAACATTTCGGGGAGGGACCAAACATCCCTGTCTTGAAGCCAAGGTAGCCCCACCTAGAAGAGGTCCCTGTTAATTCCACCTGATGACAGGTATCCCCGTTCCAATCTGCTATGCCCTTTTATCCATCATATCCTTCCTGGGCCTGGGGGTGTTGCCAGCTGGCTGGAACAGCAGAGAGGTGATGTGGAGGTGAGTGTGTCTTTTGCAGGGCAAGAACAGGGCTTCTCTCTGGGCAGTTTGCCCAGTTCTAGGTAGCCTCATGCTGAACCCCAGACACTAGTGTGTGGCTGTTTGGTGCTGATTCACCCCAACCAATGGGTGCCTCACTCCAAGGCAACGTAAAAATTTCCAGACAGTGTTTTTCCCCAAAGGATGAAACACATAAAATGGGAAGAAACCAATCATTCCCAGGCCTTCTGGATGACAGACTCTGACATCATCTATACCCAAGAGAACTGCTGTGGCAAAAGGTCCATGTTGTTTGTTCTGACAAAGCCACCCAGGCTTCTTACAGGGGACGCTGCGCTGAATGTGTCAACATCCTCTGTAAGTCCCCTGATCCAAACTTGGGAGGTTGAGAATCCTGACTTCCCTTTAGTAAGAAACCTGGTTCCTAGGGCTGAAATCTCATCTCATATTCCTTGGCCTTTGTTTCTGTTTTCTTCTTCTTGTATAGGCCTTATGTCCTGACACACTCTCATGAATGACCCTCTTTTCATTGGTTGATTGATTCATTAATTAATTGATTTTTTTCTAATTATGATATACTTAACATCAATGAACTACTCCAAAGAACCAGGGCATTGGCAATGACATGTCTCTGCCTGTGTGTTTCCTCCTCATCAGACTTCTCTGCCTCTCCCACCGGAGCCAACCACTTATTTATCATTACCTCGGTTGTTTTAAAGTTTCATTTTACATATGGTTTTATTTAGATGTAGTTGTTTACTAAATAGTAAACAATAGTAAACAATATTCTTCTTCTGGATCTTAATTTTCACTCAGTATTTTATGCATGTGTATATAGGATTGTGTTATATATGTTACATGGTCTATGTATATACTATATTGAATGTCGTGTAGCTATAGCTCATTCATTTGTACTGTACAAATGAATATTTGCTCTCTTAACTCAGAAACAAAGTGGAGAAGACTTGCTCTACCCGCAGAAAGGCAGGGGGAGCTCCTTCTGCTCCCGGGTCTCCTGCCCCAGCCCTCCGGATACAGGGTAAGCAACTGTGATTGTGATGAAGAGCGAGGGGCAATAGGAGGGTCCAGTCACTAATCCAGTGACCTAGGAACCGGGGGGAAGATGTCCTCAGGACTCTGAGAGGCCTGCTGAGGGCAGAGCCCATGCTGGGAGCCGGGGTCCTTTTGCTCCTGCTCCACCCTCTGAATGGCTCTAAGAGTCCTCTCCCTTTTCTGGGCCTCAGTTTCCGAGTCTTGAGGATGACTTAATGAGAAAAGGTGACCCTTACCTGTCATGAGTATTGCCTCTCTCTACCCCTCCCCCCATCTCAAGGGTCCCTCTGGTAAAAATTAAGAGGTGCCACCTCTCGGCCATCTCTCTCAAAGGGCTAGCTGGCTCTGGCGTCACTGTGCTGGCTCTAGTCACGATCCAACAGCCCTGAGAAAATGATTCTCCCCCAAAATGTTCCCGTGATAAGTCATTTCCACGCTTGTGTGAAGCACATTTGTTCTGCTGCAGGAAGGAACCATTTAGTGAATTACTTCTTTCTCTAAGCACTTGGTGCCCTGGGAGAGTTCATTCATTTCACAGAGGCAAGCAATTTACTCCTATAAGTTCACCATGAGCCCTGCCAGGCCTCTAAAGCTTTGGAAAATTACCCAAACCTTCTCCCCGACAACCCCCTCCAACAGCTGAAGTTGCTCAGCACATGAACAGAGTCCTTCAAGGTTCTTTGGATGTTAGGTCTCTGCTGAGCACTTATGAAACACCTTCTGGGTATGAAACTCTGCATGAGGCAGCTGGGAGATACGGAAGACAGATGTGCCAATCTCCAGTGACTCACAGTAAAACTGGGAGACAAAACGAGTCCCAGATTCGGGGTCAGGAGATCTTCCCTGAGGCCCTGGGCCAGCCCAGTTATTCTCTGTTTCCTCGGCTGAAAGATGAGGGGACTTGGTTCTTCATCTCTAAAAATCCTGCTCTTCAGTTTTCTAAAAGGCTACACAAAACGCAATGAGCAATTCCAACCCACGAAGGAGAAGAAGAAAGAGAGTCTGCCTGGCTCCCCCAAAGCCAGTGCCTCATCACCCCTCAATACCAACCATGAGTGTTTTTCCTGCTGCGCCTCTGCTCCCTGCACCTGTAATGGCCGGACTTCCCCTCTGCTGCTCCCAAGCCCTCCTCCCCGATGTTTTCCTTGACTCTTCTGTGGCTATTCAGTTTGGCAAGATCTCAAGTCTTTGAGCCTTTCAGTTCTGATTAGAGCTTTGTGTCTTCAGAGTCTCTCTATTTGCAGACTGCAAGTAGGGTGGGATTAGTTCATAGATGACAGAGCATCAAAGTAGGATGATCCTTAGCAACTGGTTCCACCTCCTTTGTTTTACAGATGAGGATGCTGAAGACAGGACGTGTGATCTACCCAGGGAGATTCAGGGAGCACGGGGATAGGGGATGAGACTGGACGCCAGTCTGCTGTCCACCAGGTGGTGGCTCTTTCTAATTCTTGTGTGTAATTATTTTATTAATATATGCATTCAACAAATACTTACTAAGTTCCTCTGTGCCAGACCCTGAACTAGGCACCAGACATAGAAAGATGAGAAGGGGTCTTCAAAGAGTCTACACTTGGACAGGAGAGACAGACCTGCATATGCATTGTCCCAGGCGGGGTACTCAGTGGTACAGGTTAGAAGCTACCCAGAGCATCATGGGAGCTCAGAGGAGGGGCGACTGCTCCTGGCTTGGGGAAAGATCCAGAGAGGAGGTGACATGTGACACTGGCCTTAAAAAATGTGTCCTCATCCATTGGGAAGAAGCTGTGAGGAAGCTCATCCCAGAGAGAAAGGCTGCAAGTTGGGCATGATCAGGAGACCACCTGAGGTCAGCTCAAGGTCTGTGCTGGCAGTGGGAGAGCAGAGTACACTGTGGCTCAGGCATCGATGGGAGCCAAGTTCTGGGCCACAGCCCACACACTGCAACCTAAGTGAATGCTACTTTCCTCAAGATTATGTCAGCACTCCTGGTTTCCCCTGACAATTGCATATATTTCTGTAGCCTTTCTAGGTGGCTCTCATGAGAGCTGTGAGTCTGTCCACACAGGCAGCTTTGAGAAGTTAGAAGCCTCATTAGATGGTGAGCTCTTGTCCGCTCCCAGCTAGAGGACTGAGATGGTCAGGCCTGTCCCTGTCAGAACTCCAGCTCCCAAGGGGCAGGTGGGATGGATTGCAAGAACAGGGTCCCACAGGCAGAGCCAGTCCACGGGGCATGGTGGGTCATCTGGGGTGGTCCCAGTAGAAGACGGCACAAGAAACTGTGAACAATATCCGGCCTCAGGGGGCCAGGGGCAGTCCATATGCAGACACCCAAGCCATCAATTTCAGGGGTGATTCAGACAGAGGCCAGCTCTGATCAAGGATTCCAAAACCCAGATCTCTCACCCAGACATTGCCTTTGAGCCTTAGACACACAGTCTGCCCAAGCGTCTTGCGTTTCTCACAGACTCCTCAAACTGTCATGTCCAAACAGAATTTATTATCTTTCCCCCAAATCTGGTGGTTCTTCCCCTGGATCTGCCTGAGAGAAGAGCTTCTAGAGGTCACTCTGACCTTGTACACAGCCTATCAAGACTGCCTCTAAAATGTCTGTCTCCTCCACCACGTCCCTACCACACTCTCCTCTGCATGTCTGCCTCTTCTCTCATGTGGACCACCACAGCGGATCCTAACTGGGTTCACAACATACAATGTCTTTCCCTTCCATCGATTCTGATTTGGAGTCAGATTTCCAAAATGCAAACCAAGTCACTTAAGCTACTCACTCCTCAGTGCCCCTAGAGTAAACTCCAAATGTCTGAACTTGACCAGTAGGGTCCTCTATGATCTGGCCTCTGCAGAGCTCAGAATAGCAGAAGCCCAGGTGTCAGACATCCTCCCTGTTCCCCTTTTGGCCTGCTAAGCTTCAAGGACCACATCGATGTAGCGATGCCCTAAGTCTGGACTCTGGCTCCTGGACCTCCAGCTCAGGCCACTTGCCCCAGGGATGCTGAGTGGTCTGCACCCCAGGCAACCTTTAGGCACTGCAGGGAGCAGAGTGCTCACTCTCAGGTCAGATTAGTCATGCTCAGGAGGAGAAAGGTTCACCCAGACCTGGCACAGACCCTGCTCCTCCTCAGCTGAAGGGTAAATGTTGGGCTGGCCTTTGTTTGACCAGCAGAGCAGCATGCTAGGAGGAAGTCATACATCCACAGTCCCTGGAATTAGCTTAGCATCCCTAGATGGGAATACCTCACCTAGACTGGGGAGGGAGATAGACTAAATGAAAATCCGTAAGCTTTCTTTCTTTCTCAGGCTTCAAAGTGTCTGGGAAATATCAGCCATTCTCTTGGCTTCAACCAAGCCATCATTATACTATCACTGCTTGAAATAGCCATTTTATTCCACCTTCCATCTCTACATTCCGGTTTTTTCTCATCACTTCTGAGAATATCTAGAAAATAGGACAAGCATACATACCAGAGTTATATGAAGAAACTCAGTCCATAGGGAGAAAACTCTCTGTAATGTATACATTGGATATTATGAGTGTATACTTCTCCAGTCATCAGAGTTCTGGGTTTCGAGCAACAGAAATGGATTCCAGAAACAGACAAAAAGTTCCTTCAAAGAGTACTGGAATTGCCAGAAGGCTGGAGTAGCAAGCAGAAAAGGAGTAGGGGAGAAGAAAAGAAGAAAAAGAAGAAGAGGGAGAGGGGGATGGAGGAGGATGAGGAAGAGGAGGAGAAGGAGGAGGAGGAAGAGGAGGAGAAGCAGCAGCAGCCAGACCAAACTGAAGCCATGCTACAGAACTAGCCTGGGGGAAGGTACTGCTGTCCTGCCACTGAACACCAGGCATAACAGCTGCTCCACCAGGTCTCACCGCAACAGGGCATTGTACACGGCACACTTGATGCAACCACCTCCAGAGCCACCAGAGAGAATTCTCCCCAGGCCCCGCTCTTTATATCACTTTAGAAGGGAACATCCACCGTGCTACCCGAGGTATCCAATGGCCATGACCTGAAGGTCATCCTCGAATTCTTCCTCTCCCTCTCCCCGTCCCCGTCTCTCATGCCTCACATCCACTTTGACACCAATTCCAGCTAACTTCGCTTTCTTCAATTGCTCAAATTTCTGAAATCTGTCTACTCTCTCCCTCCCTGGAGAGTTTAAGCTCTCATTGTTTCTTGCCTAAACTATCCTATTGTCTCCTGAGCTATACGCCTAAGACAGAGATATGACTTCTGCTTCCAGCTATGGCAGACTAGCTTGTATTAGACCAACCCGTCTACCAATAATAACTACAAAATTGAATACTGTATTTTAAAAATCCATTTGAAGTCATTGGGAAGTGACCAATATCAAAGATGTGAAGGGCCAAGATCATGGAAAGAAGGTAAATACAAAGAGGTAAGTCCAACATTTAGCTGCTCTTGAGGCATTTGCCCGTTCATACGCAGCAGTCTAGAGTTTGAGAAACTGAACAGACCATTTGACAGCCTTATGGGGCTAGAGAGACAAAAGTGGGACTGCAGGGTCTATCAATATAAAAGAGTTAAAATCTAATTGTTGGTCAAAAATGAGAGTTTCCTCTCTGGAGAAAGATAACATCATCCTCAGCCTCAAATAATCTCTACAGCAGAAATATCAATTTTCGGCAATGATGGGAATGGTCTGTAACCTGCACTGGCCAAGACAGTAAGCACTAGCCTTATGTGGCTGTTGAACATTTCAAATGTGGCTAGTGCAACTAAGGAACTGAATTTTATATTTTATTTTATTTTAATTCAAAGAGCTACACGTGACTTGTAACGACTATGTTTGATGATGCAGATGTATACAATGCCTGGCTTTGAATTAAAAATTACCAGGAAAAGGCTGGAAGCGGGGGTTAGAGAAAGAAGAAAAAGATATAGGCAGAAGTAGTAAGAAAAGACTCCGAAGACTTTTGGAGGCAGTAGAACCTTTTAGCTGGTCTTTAAAAACAAGTCAGGATTTGGGCAGAACTGTGATTATCAAAGCATGAAATATGGGCCACAGGAGGGAGGAGAAATGATTTGAGGTAGATACAGACACAACGTTGAATAGCATTAAATCACAGAGTAAGAAGATTTTTGCCCTTTTCAATTCTCTTTGGTTTCTTTAGTGTACTTTAAAAAGAAAGTCTCATTGGTACATCTTGAACAGATGGTGATATTCCATTCAGTAAACACAGGGCAGGTCTCAAGCCTGGATCTTTGGAAGACAACGATATTGAGCTAAAATGATAGTATTTTGTTTTTATTGTATTCCGTTACTCAGGCATCGTCTATTTATAGCAAGTGATTCTGGTTTTCATCATTTCGTTTCACTTGTAAAATCAATTAATATAAAGAGAGTCACTCTAAAGAAAACTAACAAGCAAATAACAGTACATGTGGTATGCAGATATGAAAAAAAAATGGTACATGGTACTTAAAGGTCTGGTGCTTGGCAAACATGGCAGCGAGTGTGCAGAAGAGAGACTTTCCCAGCCCAGGTGAAAGCTGTGCAAGCCGAGGGCTCCCGGGGAGCAGCGGAGGATCTGGGTGAGGATGGAGGGTCAGGGAGGGCAGGCTAGGGACCCCCAGGAGTTGGATGTGAGGCCTGTGCCCGCCAGGCTGTTTCGTCCTGTGGGCAGAGGTGAGCTTGTGTCTCTCAACATGACCCATGCTGTTTCCTGATCCCCTGGCTCTGAAGACAGGGCTGTGCTCGTGGACAGCAGACACCAAGGAGAGGCCTGGGGGAAGGAAAGAGAGAAGAGAGACCCAGAGGCCAGGCTGGTGATCAGCACTTTTCCATACTTACACCCAGGACCAGAGCTGCCATCGTGAGTTGGAGCTGCAGCCCCTCATGCTTAGAATCCTGTCCCCGAACATCCTGCGAAGGGACGTGCCACAGAGGAGCAGGGGCTGCCTGGGTCTGCCCTGGCGCCTCCACAGAGCCCCGCATGCACGGAGAGGGAGCCATCGGTGCCTGGTGGCTCCTGTGTCTCCACTCGGAGACACGGCCCTCCACCCTCCTCTTGCCTCCCGCCCCCATCCGTGCCTCTAATTACATGTATCCTCCTTTTTCCATCCCTTTTGCTCTGAGGACAGAAAATCTAAAGCTGCCCCCGTGACTAGAGAGGCAGACTAGAAAAGCAATAAAAGTGAGGAGAGAAGGGAGGGGAATGTGTCCTGCATAGGCAATCAGCGGGACATCGCCCAGCCCTGCTGTATTTCTGGCTGATCCGACCCAAAGTACCAATTGAAGCGACGTGAGGCAGAGGCTCCACTTCTCAGCATCTGATGCCATCAATCTAGACCCTGCTGCCAGCACTGACTTCCCTTGAAAAACATTTTAAAAGAAAAGGTCAGAACCATTTGTTTCTCCATGTGAATGAGTTCACAAAGCCCTGGCTGCTGGTGCCCAGAAGCCTCAGCATGAGCCCAGACAGCTGCTTCAAACCTCCCAGAGCAAGCTCTCTGGGCAAAATAAAACTTGCTGAGGCAAATCCCCCAGATCTGAGTCTGTCCATCAGGGGTTTAGTCCTCTGGGTCACCTGCCTCCAGTCACAGTACAGAGCACTGCATAATGGCATAAGGTCTAAGGTTAGGTTGTTGGGGTTTAAATCCTGGCCTTTCCACTCACTTGCTGTATAACCTTGGCTTCATTACTTAACGTCTCTGAGCTTTTCCTATACGTAAAGCAGGTGTAATTAGCAATGACAGGTGCTGTCTCATAGAATTCTTGGGAAAAATCAAATAGAGTAATAAATGTAGAATGCTTAGTATGGTGTCTGATATATCATAAATGGACAAGAATATAGGTCATAAAGACTATTATAGACAAAATGGTCCTGAAATCCAATTGCTTCACTTGGTTTTCTCTGTATCACTGTGAAACAAACCACCTCAAAACCTAGTCACTTAAAACACAAATTTATTATTACTTCTCATTGTTCTAAGGATTGACTGGGCTCAGCTGGGCAGGTCTTTCTGGGTGCCTCTTCTGGTTGCAGTCAGATGGCAGCTGAGGCTGGTGTCATCTGAGGACCGGAGGGGGTGGGAACATCCAACCTGGCTTCCTCACTCATGTGTTTATGCCTTGGCTCGGGGATGGCTGAGCATCTCTCTCTCTGTCCCTCTCCTCTCTCTCTCTCTCTCCATGTAGCCTCTGCATGTGGCAGTCGTGGCCTCTCACAGCATGGTGGTCTCAGAGACATCTGATTTCTTACACGGCAGCTGGCTTCTTCCAGAGCAAGCATTCTGAGAATCAAGAAGCTGCAAGGCTTCTTATGACCTGGCTTCGGAAGTCACACAGCATCACTTCAGCCACATTTATCTGGCTACACGGGGTCAGCTCAGATTCAATGTGAGAGGCAACGGTACAAGGGTGGGAATGCTAAAACCAGTTCATTGGTGCCATCTTGGAGACTAGTTACCACCCCAACCAGCAGCCTCTTCTAATGCATTATTGAAAAGAGCTCTGGATTCTGAATTGGACACTTGGGTTCAAGCCTTTAGGTAAGTCACTACCACCCTCAGGGTCCCTGAGAGTGACACATGCCTTGTGGGTTGTGGTGGAGAACAAATGTTATTGAGTATAGAAAGCCGGCACACAGGGGCGCACACAGAAGTTCCCCTCCCCATTCAGAGCAGGGCGAGATCCTCACCTTAACACTCTTAGTCCTCCTCCTTGAAGGAGCCACTTTGAGATGAGGCTGCCATCACTCTGCTGTTCCTGAGTTCTGCGTGTGTGTGCCAGCAAGTTTAGTTTAGCTCATCACCTGCCGGGCTCGTGGCTGGCACTGAATAAATAATGTACTATTCAGAAGCAGAGTTGTCAACTCACGCTGTTTCGCCAGAATCCTTCCGAACGGAATCTCTGCTAAATCTGGAGTGAGTTATTGAAAAATCTTTTTCAAAAGGTTAAGCCACCTGATCTAAGAAATCCCAGAAAGGCTTTTATTTTCTTTTGACCTCTATTCTTTGAATCCTGCCAGGAACCAGCACACATACTCACTTGGGACTTAACATGAATTACCAAACAGCTGGAGAGAAATCAAGGTGACAAATTACTGACAATGGTTCTTAATGCCTGGTTCTTAATACTGTATTCAGGACACCAGAGAAAGCCACTTAGCCCTTCAGTGGATAGCTCTATCCCCTCTTTGTGGACCTGGGCCTGCCTGGGTGGGAAGGGGGTCAGAGAAATCTGGAGACGCTTTGCCCGGCCTGGAGTCCCTGGAATGGTGGGAGATTGAGGTGCCAGCCATGTCTGTACCCACTTCGTCCAAGCCCTCTCATCAACTCCAAGGAATCATTTTACCAAGACCAGAAAACATCAGACTCACTGCTCCAAAGAACCCATGCTCATCAGTGTCAGCAGGGAGGGACAGTGTCATATCTACCAATATACGCAATGCTAGTCAAAGAAGGAAATGACTGTGAAAACTGGGGACATAAACCTTCTCTGGGAATTGGCCTGTGATCCTTGTTATCTTCCCTTGGGCATACGGTTTAGTGGAAAGAGCATGGCCCGGGAATCAACTCGGACTCCGCTTTACCTGGCCGTGAACTCGCCCCTGCAAATCCTCCTTCCCACAGGTTCAGCGTCCAGAACATGTTGGAGAAATGCTACATCTCCTGCTCAGTCCTGTGCTCTGAGCTTCAGGCCTACATCTCACTACCTAGCAGCCTCCTCTGGACGTCCCATAACACATCCAAAGCTCATTGCTCACCCCTCTGAAATGCCACCACTTCCTTGCTCACCACCTCTTATACTTTCCTGGTCCTGGGCAGCAATAGCCATTCAGCCAGCAACCAAAACAGAAGCCCCGAACTCCATCCCTCCTCCAACTCACACATGTAACCAGTCACTATACCCCATCGATTCTGTCTCACAATTATCTTTGTTTAACCTTCATCCTCCCCATCCATCCAACAACTGCCTGAGCCCAGACCCCATCACATCTCACCTGGGCTATGGGAGTGGCTCCCACAGAGCCTTCCTCTCCACTCATCCTGTGCCTCAGCCAGCCCCAGGTGCCTCCTACCCGGGGGGCCAAGGTCCAGATAAAAGAGGAAAACATGAAAAGAGCAAGTGTTCAGCTCTGTTTCCTGAGGCACACTCTTTCCATACTGTGGGCTCCGTGTGCCTTCATCCGCCGTGAAGAAATTGGATAAAATTAAGTCTTCTGGAAGCTTCTTCCTGCTCCAAGATTCTGCGATTCTTCTGAGAAAACTTCTGCAGAGATTTTTTAAAGCTGGCATCTTTTTCTGACCAAAAGCCTCAGGCAGCCTTGTCACAGCTGAAGGAGGAAAATCACCAACTTCTTCTCAGTGCAAATTAATGTCATCGATCTCCTCAATCTGGTCTGCTCAACAGAAGGCAATCAATGTGGAGGAAAAGACTGTGCTGGAAATAGAAGGCTGGAAGGGTTCCTTTCAGGAACAGCTGACCTTTCAGAGACAGGGACAGTGAGCACCCAGAGGCCTCGGCCTACATCAGGGTTCATCTCCTCAGCATTTGGGCGGTGTGAGTGTGGAGCTAGCAATCACCCTGAGACGAGAGAGCAGGGACCTGGTCAAAAGCCCTAGGCTACAGGGTTGGCTCTGCTGTGTGACCTGGGGTAAGTGAGGCCCCATCTCTGGGCCTGCTTCCTCATCTCTAGTTGTACTCACTGATAGCTAAGCTGGCACTAAGTTATCTAAAAGGAGGTAGGTGAGCCTTACAGGGTCCTAGGGTCTGTTCTGAGCCCGTGGGAAGCTAAAGCTGTTTCTGTTTCTCGCAAAACCTCAGTTTGAATCCATAAGATTTAACAAAGAAGGAGGGGCCTCAAGATGGCTGACTGAGGACATCTGATACCCGCCTACTCCACAGAGAGGAACCAACACAGCAAGTAGATAATCATGCTTCCAATAAATCATCTAAGACAGAACACGGGAATTCAACAAGAAGTGACAGAAAACACCTGAGGCGAGGAAGGAGAGGGAAGCAGGATAGGCTGGAAGCTGGGAGAGGATCCGCAATATGGGGAAAGGGTAAGTGAGGGATCCCCAGTAGTCTGCATTCCCACCTTCGACTCTTGCAACCTTAGCCACAGGAGAGACTCTCAACTCCTGCCGGCCCCGAGACTAACTGAAATGGGCTGCCTGGAGACTGCACAATGATATTGCTCCAGAAAGGGAGCTCACACTGGGTCCCACACCCCCTTAGCTGTCCTAAACAGCTATAGCATGGCACCATTTGGAGCACCCAGCTCCCACCAGACTGCATGTGCCCAGAAGCCCAACAGCCCCTGCATCTCCACATCCCTGGAGTCTCACTGATATCCCCCACCTGCAGCCTCCACTGCTGCTGGCTGCTGCTGCCAGGGCTAAAACATGAGCCACTGGCAGCAACCCCACTACCTTCAGCAGTGGGGCTGCCTATGGCTGCTGCTACTGAAAGCAACCCCACTCTCACCAGTAACAGGACCTCAGTGCAGCCACTGTCATTCCCACCTAAGCATTCTTCCAGGGGCCCAAAGATCATCCCACCTCTGCCTACCACAGCCAGTGCCTGCACATACCCTTTGAGGGCCTGAGGACCTGCCCAGACAGTCTGGTTCCACCCGCCACCCAGGGCCTGAGCATGCCGTCCAGGAGCCTGGGAATTTCCAAGCTTCATCCACCACTGTTGTCACCTGAGCACTCCTACCAGGGGCCCAAAGTTGGGCCCACCCAACCTGCCACTACCACCACAGCTGGCATCCACCCACACAAGCCACCTACAGGCCTAAGGACTGGCTTGACCACCCAATTTTAGCCACTGCTAACACCAGCATGAAATGCTTAGGATCCAGGGGGCTGTCTCCACTGTTACTGCCACTGCCCATGCACAGCTGCTACCCAGGGGCCCAAGGGCCCACCTACCTGCTCAGCCCACCACTGCCACTGCCAGCACCTAAGCAAGGCACCTAGAGGCCCAAGAATTGGCTAGATCCCCTAACACTGGTGTCAGCATACACCACCCTGGGGTCCAAGAACAGGCACGCTTGGCCCACCACTGCCACAACTGGGACCCAAGGACTAGCCCACTTGGTGTCCCTGTGTGCACAAAACTTCAACACAGTCTCCACTAATAAACTCACCATAAGCCACTGAGGAAATCACAGACAACACTAATGCTGTTTACAGCTGAAGAAATTACTTGGAAACTACTCTACTGCATACAAACAGAATAAAAGCCAAAGTGGCCTATCCAATCAACACCATAGATACGTTTTTAGGAAAAAGTCTTCCACTACAAAAGCAAACCCAGAAAACTGGAAGAAGTAATTGTTACATCAAATGTGCAGATATCAATGTAAGAGCACAAGACACATGAAAAAGAAAGAAGATATGACATCTCCATAGTAACATAGTAACATAATAATTCTCCAGCAACAGATTCCAGTGAAAAAAAAATCTTTGAAATAACGGGAAAAGAATTCAAAATAATGATGCTAAAGAAGCTCAGCGAGATACCAGAGAACACATAAATAATACAAATAAATCAGAAAAAAATAATTCAGGAGATAAATGAGAAATTTACTAAAGAGATAGATATACATATTTTTTAAAAAAAGAACCAGACAGAAACCCTAGAACTGAAGAATTCATTGAATGAATAAGTATATTCAAAAGCTTCAACAATAGACTAGGTCAAGCAGAAGAAAGAATTTTAGAACTTGAAGGCAAGTCTTTTGAAATAACCCAGTCAAACAAAAATAAAGAAAAAAGAATTTAAAAGAATTAACAAAGCCTATGTGACATATGGGACACCATAAAATGATCAACTACTTGTCTTCTTTGACCAACTCTTTGTTTGCTGAGACACTGAAAATTCAGTGTCTCAGAAGAAACTCTATTTAGAAAAATAATAGCTGAAATATTTTCAAGTGTAGCAAGAGATTTTAAGCATCCTGTTACAGGAAGCTCAGAGATCCCCACATAGATAAAATTCAAAAAGGTCTTCTCCATGGCACATTATAGTCAAACTGTCAAAAGTCAAAGACAAAGAGAGAATTCTAAAAACAGCCAGAGAAAAGCATCTAGTCCCTTAAAAGGGAACCCCCATCAGACTAACAATAATGTCTCAGCAGAAACCTTATAGGCCAGGAGATACTGTAATGATATATTCAGAGTGCTGGGGGAAAAAAATCCTGTCAGGCAGAGATACTGTACCCAGCTAAGTTATCCTTCATAAATGAAGGAGAAATAAAGTATTTCCCAGACAGGCAAAATCTCAGAGAATTCATCACCACTGGACAGACCCTATAAGAAATGCTTAAGGAAGTCCTACACCTGGAAGTAAAAGAATGATACCTACCATATGAAAGCACACAAAAGAGGCTGGGAACAGTGGCTTACACCTGTAATCCCAGCACTTTCAGAGGCCAAGTCAGGCGGATCACAAGGTCAGGAGATCAAGACCATCCTGACTAACACAGTGAAACCCCATTTCTACTAAAAATCAAAAAATTAGCCAGGCGTGGTGGTGGGCGCCTGTAGTCCCAGCTACTCAGGAGGTTGAGGGAGGAGAATGGCATGAACCCGGTAGGCGGAGCTTGCAGTGAGCCGAGATCGCGCTCCAGCCTGGACAACAGAACAAGACTCCATCTCAAAAAAAAAAAAAAAGGAAAACACACAAAAGTATAAAACCATTGGTAGAGCAAACACACATATAAGGAGAAGACTAAAATGTTACCACAAAAAAAGTACAATGACAAGCAATAAGAGATAAAGGGAAGAACAAAGGATATATGTAACAAGCAGAAATCAATTAATAAAATGACAGGTATAAGCCCTCACACATCACTATAACTTTGAATGTAAACAAGTTAAACTTTCCACTTAAAAGATACAGACTGGTCCAGACACGGTGGCTCACACCTGTAATCCCAGCATTTTGGGAGGCTGAGGCGGGTGGATCATGAGGTCAGGAGATTGAGACCATCCTGGCTAACACAGTGAAACCCCGTCTCTACTAGAAAAATACAAAAAATTAGCCAGGTGTGGTGGTGGGGGCCTTTAGTCCCAGCTACTCGGGAGGCTGAGGCAGGAGAATGGCATGAACCTGGGAGGTGGAGCTTGCTGTGGGCCAAGATCACGCCACTGCACTCCAGCCTGGGTGACAGAGTGAGACTCCATCTCAAAAAAAAAAAAGATACAGACTGACTAAATGGGTAAAAAAAATATGACCCAACCATATGCTTCCTACAAGGAACTCATCTGCCCTGTAAAGACACATATAGAGTGAAAGTAAAGGTATACAAGAAGACACCTATTCAAACAGAAACCAAAACCAAGCAGGATTAGCTATACTTATATCAGATAAAACAGTCTTAAAGTCGAAAACAATAAAAAGAGACAAAGAAAGTCAGTATATAATGCTAAAGGAATCATTTCAATAAGAGGATATAATAATTCTAAATGGATGTGTACCAAACACCAGAGCACCCAGTTACATAAAGCAAATATTATTAGATCTAAAGAAAGACATATGCTCCAATACAATAATAACTGGAGATTTTAATACTCAATTCTCCGTGTTAGACAGATTATCTAGACAGAATATTTAAAAAAAAAAAAACATTGGATTTAAACTGCACTTTAAACCAAATGAAACCAAAGACATTTACAGAATATTTAATACAGAAGCTACAGAATACACATTCTTCTCACCAGCTCATGGAACATTCTCCAAGGCAGACCATATGTCAGGACACAAAACAAGTCTCAACAATTTTTTTTTTTTTTTTAAGACAGAGTCTCACTCTGTCGCCCAGGCTGGAGTGCAGTGGCACAATCTCGGCTCACTGCAAGCTCCGCCTCCCGGGCTCACGCCATTTTCGTGCCTCAGCTTCCCGAGTAGCTGGGACTACAGGTGCCCGCCACCACGCCTGACTAATTTTTTGTACTTTTTGTAGAGACGGGGTTTCACTGTGTTAGCCAGGATGGTCTCGATCTCCTGACCTTGTGATCCTGCCACCTCCGCCTCCCAAAGTGCTGGGATTACAGGCGTGAGCCACTGCGCCTGGCCCAAAAAAATTTTAAAAATCAAAATCATATCAAGCATTTTCTCAGATCACAATGGAATAAAACTAGAAACCAACAATGACGGGAACTTTAGAAACTGTACAAACACATGAAAATTAAACAGCATACTCCTGAATGATCATTGGATCAAGGAAGAACTTAAGGAGGAAATTCAAATTTTCTTGAAACAAATGAATGTTAAAACACAACATACCAAAACTTATGGAATATAGCAAAGGCAGTGTTAAGAGAGAAGTTTATAGCAAAAAACTCCTACATCAAAAAAGTAGAAAGATTTCAAATAAATAATCTAACAATGTACCTCAAAGAACTAGAAAAGCAAGAACAACCCAAACCCAAAATTAGTAGAAGAAAAAAAATAAAGATCAGAGAAAAAACTAAATTAAATAGAGACTAATAAAATAATACAAAGGATCAATAAAACAAGAAATTGCTTCTTTAAAAAGATAAACAAAACTGATAAACTGCTAGCTAGATTAACCAAGAAAAAAGAAAGAAGGCCTAAATAAATAAAATCACAAATGAAAATGGAGCCATTGCAACAGATACCATTAAAATACAAAAGATCATCAGAAACTATCATGAACAACTATACATTGATAAACTAGAAAACCTAGGAGAAATTTATAAATTTCTGGACACATACAACCCAACAAGGTTGAATCAGAAAGGAATAGAAAATCTGAACAGACCAATAACAAGGAATGAGATTGAATCAGTAATGAAAAGTCTCCAAAAAATAAAAGCCCAGGACCAGATGGCTTCACTGCTGAATTCTGCCAAACTTACAAAGAAGAACTAATACCAATTTTTCTCAAATTATTCCCAAAAAATTGAAAAGGAGAGATTCCTCCTTAACTCATACTACAAGGCCAGCATTACCCTGATACCAAAACCAGGAAAGGATGCAACACAAAAAGAGAATTACAAGCCAATATCCCTGATGAACATAATGCAAAAATCCTCAGGAAAATATTAGCAAACTGAATCTAACAGCACATCAAAAGATAATACACTATGATCAAGTGGGATTTCTCCCAGGGTGGAAGTATGGTTCAACATTCACAAATCAATAAATGTGATACATCACATCAACAGAATGAGGAGCAAAAACCATAGATCATCTCAACAGATGCAGAGAAAACATTTGATAAAATCCAACGTCACTTCATGAAAAAAACTCTCAACAAAGTAGGCATAGAAGGAGCATACCTCAATATAATAAAGGCCATATATGACAAACCCACAGCTAACATCATGCTGAATGGGGAGAACATAAAAGCCTTTCCTCTAAGAACTGGAACAAGACAAGGATGCCCACTTTCACCATGCCTATTCAACATAGTACTGAAAGTCCTAGCCAAAGAAATCAGTCAAGAGAAAGAAATAAAATGCATCTAAACCGAAAATGAGAAAGTCAAATTGTCCCTTTTTGAGGATGACATTATCTTATACCTAGAAAAACCTAAAAACTCCACAAAAAAACCCTTAGATCCGATGAATAAATTCAGTAAAGTTGCAAGATACAAAATCAACATACAAAACTCAATAGCATTTCTATATACCAATAATAAACTGCTGACATGAAATCAAGATGGCAATCCCATTTACAATAGCTACCAAAAAACTAGCTACAAAAAAATAGACCAGCGTGGGCCGGGCACGGTGGCTTGTGCCTGTAATCCTGGCACTTTGGGAGGCCAAGGCAGGTGGATCACTTGAACCTAGGAGCTCAAGACCAGCCTGGGCAACATAACAAGACCTAATCTCTACAAAAAATTTAAAATATTAGCTGGATGTGGTGGCAAGCACCTGTAGTCCCAGCTACTTGGGAGGCTGAGGTGGGATGATCCCTTAAGCCCAGGAGGCAGAGGTTGCAGTGAACTGAGATCATGCCACTGCACTCCAGCCTAGGTGACAGAGCAACACTCTACCTCAATAAACAAACAAACAAACAAACAAATATAAAATAGCTAGGAATAAATTTACCAAGGAAGTGAAAGACTTCTACAAGAAAACCTACAAAACACCGAAGAAAGAAATTGAAGAGGACACAAACACATGGAAAGACATCCCATGCTCATGGACCAGAAAAATTACTATCGTTAAAATGACCATACTACCCAGCCACGCACGGTGGCTCATGCCTGTAGTCCCAGCACTTTGGGAGACCGAGGAGGGCAGCTCATGAGGTCAGGAGATAGAGACCATCCTGGCCAACACGGGTGAAACCCCGTCTCTACTAAAAATACAAAAAATTAGCCAGGCGTGGTGGGGGGCGCCTGTAGTCCCAGCTACTCAGGAGGCTGAGGCAGGAGAATGGTGTGAACCTGGGAGGCAGAGGTTGCAGTAAGCCGAGATCATGCCATTGCACTCCAGCCCGGAGGACAGAGTGAGACTCCCTCTCAAAAAATAAATAAATAAATAATTTTTTAAAAATGACCATAGGCCGGGCGCGGTGGCTCACGCCTGTAATCCCAGCACTTTGGGAGGCCGAGGCGGGCGGATCACGAGGTCAGGAGATCGAGACCATCCTGGCTAACACAGTGAAACCCCGTCTCTACTAAAAAACACAAAAAAATTAGCCAGGCGTGGTGGCGGGCGCCTGTAGTCCCAGCTACGCGGGAGGCTGAGGCAGGAGAATGGCGTGAACCCGGGAGGCGGAGCTTGCAGTGAGCCGAGATGGCGCCACTGCACTCCAGCCTGGGCGACAGGGCGAGACTCCGTCTCAAAAAAAAAAAAAAAAAAAAAAAAAAAAAAAAAAAAAAAAAAAGACCATAATACCCAAAGCGATCTACAGATTCAATGCAATCCCTACCAAAATACAATGTCATTTTTCACAGAAATAGACAAAACAATCTTAAAATTCATATGGAATTAAATTAAAAAGCCTGAATAGCAAAAATAATCCTGAGCAAAAAGAACAAAGCTGGGGCCGGGCATGATGGCTCATGCCTGTAATCCCAGCATTTTGAGAGGCCAACGTGGGCAGATCACTCGAGGTCAGGAATTTGAGACCAGCCTGGCCAACCTGGTGAAACTCTCTCTCTATTAAAAATACAAAAAGTAGCTGGGCATGGTGGTGTGTGCCAGCTACTCAGGAGGTTGAGGCACAAGAATTGCTTGATCCTAGGCAGCAGAGGTTGCAGTGAGCCAAGATCGTGCCACTGAACTCTAGTTTGGGTGACAGAGTGAGACTCTGTCTCAAAAAAAAGAACAAAGCTGGAGGCATCACACTATCTGACTTCAAAATATATTACAAGGCTATAGTAACTAAATCAGCATAGTGTTGATATAAAAACAGACATATGGGCCAACGGAACAGAATAGAGAACCCAGAAATAGATTCACATATTTACAGCCAACTGATTTTTGACAAAGGCACCAAAAACGCACACTTGGGAAAGGGTACCCTCTATAATAAGTGGTGCTGGGAAAATTGGATATTCATATGCAGAAGATTAAAACTGGGCCTCTATTTCTTACCGTATACAGAAATCAACTCAAGATGGATTAAAGACTTAAATGTAAGACCTGAAATCATAAAAGTCATGAAGAAAACATAGGGGAAACACTTCAGGACATTGATCTAGGCAAAGATTTTATGGCTAAGACCTCAAAAGTACAGGTGACAAAAACCAAAATAGACAAATGGGACTACGTTAAACTAAAAAGCTGCCACACAGCAATGGCAACAGAATGAAGAGATAATCTGTTGAACGGGAGAAAATATTTGCAAACTATTCATCTGACAAGGGACTAAAATTCAGAATATACAAGGAACTGAAGCAACTCTACAGTAAAACAAACAAACAAATAATCCCATTAGAAAATGGGCATGTGATCTGAACAGACATTTCTCAAAAGAAGACATACAAATGGCTAACAGGTATATGAAAAAATGCTCAGCACCACTAATCATTAGAGAAATGCAAATCAAAACCACAATGAGATATCATCTCATCCCAGTTAGAATGGCTATTACTATAAATATAAAAAGTAACAGATACTGGCAAGGATGTGGAGAAAAGGGAACTCATACACTGCGGGCGGGAATGTAAATTAGTACAGCCACTATGGAAAACAATATGGAGATTTCTCAAAAGCTAAAAATAGAACTACCATACAATCCGGAAATCACGCTACTAGGTGTTTATCCAAAGGAAAAGAAATCAGTATATGAAAGGGATACCTGCACCTCATGTTTATTGCATCACTACTCACAATGGCAAATACATGAAATCAACCAAAGTGTCCATCAAATGGATGACAGGATAGAGAAAATGTGGTATACATAAATATACACTGTGGAATCCTATTAGGCCATAAAAAAAGGATGAAATTCTGTCATTTGCAGCAACATGGATGGAACTGATGGTCATTATGTTAAGTGAAATGAGCCAGGCACAAAAAGACAAATATCATATGTTCTTACTCACATGTAGGAGCTAAAAAGATTGATCTCATGAAGATAAGAGAGTAGAATGATAGATCCCAGAGGCTGGGAAAGCTATGTGCATTGGGGAGGGTGGGAATGAAGAAAGGTTGGCTAATGGATATAAGCATAGGGTTAGATAGAAGGGATAAGTTCCACTCTTCAGTAGCAGAGTAGGGTGACTATAGTTAGCAACAATGTATTGTATATTTCAAAATAACTAGAAGAGAGGATTTGAAATTTTCCAACACATAGAAATGATAAATACTTGAGGTGATGGAGATATCCTAAATACCCTGACTTGCCCATTACACATAGTACGCATGTAACAAAATTGCCTGTATACCCCACAAATAGATACAAATACCATGCATCAACTTCAATTTTTTTAATTAAAGAAAAAAAAAGAAGTGTGAGGAAGATGCAATAGCTAATTTTATGTGTCAATTTGGCTGGGCCATAGTGCCCGGATATTTGGTCAAATATTATTCTGGGTGTTTCTGTGAAGGTGTTTTTGTGATGAGATTAACATTTAAATCAGCGGACCTTGAGTAAATTACCCTCCATAACATGGGTGGGCCTCATCTAATGAGCTGGAGGTTTGAATAGAACAAAAACTAACCTCCCTTGAGCAAGAAGGAATTCTCCCAGCAGGCTGCCTTTGGACTCAGACTCTTTCCTGGATCTCCAGCCTGCCAGCCTACGCCACTTTCTCTCTCTCTTTCTCTCTCTCTCTCAGATGTATATATACACACCCTGTTGGTTCTGTTTCTCTAGAGAACCCGGGCTAATATCCCTTCCACCTACAGGAGGGAAAGGCCTAAGATTCATAAAAGCACCACTGGCTTTGTCAAGGCTACCAGAAGATTCTGAGTTCAGCCTTACCTCTCTAACAATTTTCATACTGCTCCCTACAGGGACCATGAGATGGGACAAAAACCCTCTCTGGATTCCAGGAAACTCCTGTACTAAAGGAGCCTCCTTCCCATGGGTAAATGTCGCAGGTGGGAGTCAGAAGAGGCCTGCGATGAGGGAAGAGCCATCTGGAGCACCTACTTTGATAACTAACAATGACTGTTGGGCATTGTTCTATGTGCTTTCCTTACATGATGTGTTTAATCAACAAACTCTAGGAAGTAGCTACTATTAACATCCACATTTCACAGCTGAGGACCCTGAGGCCCCATGAACTTAAGTCACTCCTTAACCTGGACCCTACACGATGCTATTCTGCCTGCTGTGCACTGGAAGTTCTACATACTAGGTCTCTTGCTGGTGACAGCCTGTGAGCTAGATGGCATTATCTATGTTGTTCAGATGAAGAAATAAGACACAGAGACATTAAGTAGTTTCATAAGGTCACGCAGCTCATGGTGGCAGAGTCAAGATTCAATTCCAAGTCCTTCTGACCACCGCCCAAGCTCTCTCTAGACAGTTGCACTGTTTCCCACCCGTATTTGTTGCATAGGGAAGACAGTTGCTATGGGGATCTCAGCTGTCCCTGCTACTTACAAGCCTACTGGCCCTTCGGGTGACATTTCACGAAAATTGTTGTCATTAATCGCCATCATCTCAATGATAAGTATACCTGTGTGTGCAGGTTGCCAAGGACTTCCGCATACTTCTCTCTCTTGGTCCCCAAGGTGAGCCAGGGCAATTCATAATATCCTTTATTCCACAGGGGCTGGTGGAGGCCAAGCATGAAGGATGGGTGCTAACATTTACTAAGTCCATGCTGTACTTCAAGGGCTTGGGGTTATGATTTAATTCTCACCACAGTCCTGTGAGATGACATTGCTGCCTCCATTTTACAGGTGAGGAAACAGCACAGAGAATATCCAGTGCCAGGTGAGATCATAGAAAAAATAGATTTTCCTAGAGGTTGTTCAAATTCTTTGCACTGTCCCACTCCCTGTCACTCCTGGTATCTTCCATCCACTTCACCTTCCCTTCCTTTTAAGGAAGTGCCCTGAAGTCTCCCCTTTCAAATTCCAATTCCTAATTTTGGTTATCTCAATTCATTCTTGAGAAGAAAACATTCAGAATGAATTAATCCTCAGGAAGAGCAGAGAGACTGCTAGCCTCTTGTCTCCCTGGGGCTTTGCAGAGAGGAGGTGCTTTCAACCTGAAGCGCCTCCAATTTTGGAATCGGGGCCATGGGACTGTGCAACCTGGAGCTGTGACTAGGGCAGCATCTCTGTGCCACTCCTCCCCACCCTCACCCCATCCCCACCTCCCATCTTAACATCCTGTGAGACCCCCAAGCCATAACCCAGAGGTCAATCATCATCACCCCTCCCTCTCCATTCCCACAGGTCCAATCCAGGACCAGTTCTGGCAGGGTACACCTGTCAGACTCTTCCAGAAGCTGCAGCCCTGCCCTAGGACCACCATGCCTCCCTAGGATTGCCCCACAACCTTCCCAAGGCCACCTCATACTGTTTACACCTCACAAGCACCTACTCCCTCTGCCCTCTTGCTTGCAGTACTGGTCACTCTCTGACCCTGCCCAGGCCCCCAGGCCCCCACCCTCTCTACTGCCGCCCCTCTGCCTGGCCTTTCACCTTGGAATTAATTCAACCGCAATCTCCTCCACTAGACTGCAGCCTTCATAAGAGCAGGAGACACAGCTGTCTTATTACCATTATATCCCCAGGGCCTAGCACAGCATCTGGCATATAGAAAGGGCTTAATAAACATTTGTTGGGTAGACAAATGAATGACTGAGTAACTGAATGAATGAGTTAGTAGTATTATGGCACAGTCTTTTAACATCTTGTACTTTTTGCCCCCTGCTTCTTTTTTTTTTTTTTTTTTTTGAGATGGAGTTTTGCTCTGTTGCCAGGCTGGAGTGCAATGGTGCCATCTCGGTTCACTGCAACCTCCGTCTCCCGGGTTCAAGCGATTCTCCTGCCTCAGCCTCCTGAGTAGCTGGGACTACAGTCATGCGCTACCATGTCTAGCTAATTTTTGTATTTTTAGTAGAGATGGGGTTTCACCATGTTGGCCAGGCTGGTCTCGATCTCTTGACCTTGTGATCCGCCCACGTCGGCCTCCCAAAGTGTTAGGATTACAGGCGTGAGCCATGGCGCCTGGCCTTGCCCCCTGCTTCTTTAACCCCAGTGAGCTTCTCCAGGGCCTTCAAGGATCGAGGCAGGGGCTGGCTGTGTGGCTTGGCCTGCTCTCCACCATGGGCCAGGTTCAGCCAACTGTCACTCCATCAGTTTCCCTATCTAACCCTTAGAATGCCCCATCAGCCTTCTACTCTCTTCCTTCCCTCTGCTCTCTGGTGAGGAGAAACAGTTTAATACATCCCCCTTCCTTGAATACAACTCTCCCCGCCCGACCCCTTCCTCAACACTGAGCCTCACCTCACACCCACATCTGCATGGCCCTGCCCAAATTTCCTGGGGCCACACTGGATTCTATTTATCTTCCTTCCTCGGGTCTGACCCTCATTGAGGCAGCTATGAGCTGTAATCTAAGGGATTAAGCATGTGGCTGAGAACTTTGGTAGCCAATGCCCTTGATCTATGTCTCCCTAATGGGCTGCTTCCCCAGAATGGCAGGTAATAAAAGTGCTTTTCATTGTTGTTCTCCAACACTTGGTATTTTCTCAGTTCTCTGCTACAGAGTCCAACTGCAATTGATTAAAACTTTAGACACACATAACAAGGTAATGTTCATGTTTATAGGAAGACTAAAGTGCTGAGATCAATATTGTTGTGCTAGGACCTAATCTCTGGACCTGCGTGTCCAGCCCATGGCTCTGTGGGACAGTCAGCACCCTGGTCACAGGCCCTCCTGAAGACACGCACCTCACAAATCTGAGTCTTGGGCTAAGGCCAGGATTATGTGTCCTATTTTCTGACAAAGACATAGGCGTGGTCACAGGCAGCAGAGCTTTGCAACCCTTAAACAACACAAAAAAACTTCTGCAATTTTCCTCCAAAGGAAAGGGAAACGATAAGAACACAAACAGTTGCTTCTCAAAACAGCCCTTAGTTATCTCAGTGAATTGGAAGTCATTGGTGTCAACATCATCAAAAAGCAGGCACTGAGTGCTCTTGGCAAATACTGCCCCCAAAAGACTCTCTCTAGGGGAATTTATGGAGCAAAGAAGGAACACCAATGTGTTAGGTTTTGCATACTTTTGACTTGTTCTAATTTTTACAATAAGAAGCGTGTTTTGTTTCTATAATTAAAAACAAATCATTTCCCTCTAAATGCTTTCCCCTTGAGGCATAGAATCAATGAACTGCAGGATCTCAAGGAGCCATAGAGCCCTCGGAGATCATCTAGCCCAACTCTCTCTTTGACAGAGGAGGAACCTGGGCTCACAAAAAAAAAAAAAAAAAAAAGGGACTCGTCCAAGATCACACAGCTCAAGGTCACACACCAGACAGAGGACTTTGGAATCCATTTTCCAGACACATTCATTTATGAAACTAATTGTTCCACAGCTAGTCCAATTGGAGCATGGGCTGCTACAGAAAGTGTGGCCTAAAATTTCCCCAAGAAAAAAGAAAGAAGCAATTACTGGTGTGCTAAAAAACTGAGTCTGACCATCCTGAACAGCGGCTTGTAAAAGCTCAATAACTGAGTGGGAAAATGCTGAGCCTCCTGGGATGAAAAAGCAATCTCTGCCTATGTGTCTACCGGTATTCCTATATTCCATCATCTGTGTATTGGGAGAGAGAAAAAAAGCATTTGAGTAAAAGAAACGGTATCACATGAACGAGGGTGGGGAAGGGTGGGAAGGGTGGGGGGTGGGCAGGTCAGGCAATTCTATGGCTTCTCCTTTCTCCAGCTCCAGGGAGAAAAGTCCAAGTTGCAAGAAGACAAGAGAGTGTGAAAGGAGACAGGCCCCCGGAGGCCCCTTGGAAACTGTGGAAGGAAGACACATGGCAACTCAAAGGGCTGGAGCATGATCTTCCCCTACAAGCCAGAGTAAATGAGGGAGACGAGGGAGTCCCTCTGGGGAGGTAAAGCACACACGTAATCACTCATGAGAAAGGCTGCATGAGCTCCATGAAGCCTGGACAACATCCCACTAATTTTTCCTATTGTTTGCTGGTGTCTAATGCTGGCTCCCCAAAAATCACCAAAGCAACCTGTTGATAAGAAACAACTGTATTTATTCTTACCTCAGCAAGGGAGAGTGCTACTTCCACTGAGTCTTAGGGGTGTCCAGGAAGGAGTCAGACAAAGTCAAGGAATGTATTGTATCGGGATTTTGAAGTCTGCTTGAAGGTGAGTCTTTAAATTGGGTGAGTTCCGGGTTAGCTTATCTGGGATTTTCTTGGGTTCCCCTTCCTGGTCCAAGATGGCACCCACGGCTGCAGGTGACATTCCCTCATACAAACGCACTCAGATATAGGAAAAAGCAAGTATTTGGTATTTTTTTTTATGAATGAAGGAAACATTCCCAGATGTCCTCCCAGGCTCCCCTTTCCATCTCATTGGCTAGGGTGAAGTCATATTCCCACGCCTCAGCCAATCACTCCAAAAAGAAAGGAATTCGCATAATTGGCCTAAACTCCTGAGGTAGATTCCAACTCTGATTCCATTTCTAAATTTCCAAGGTTCTTTCCAGTTCGAGAATCCTAAGTTTTGTAAGTAGCCACTCCTTTTTCAAAAAGCTGCTTTTCTGACTTATTTATAGCCCAGTTTTCCTATCCCACTCCCTGCCTTTGAGGCTGCAGTTTGCCCCTGGTGACACGTTTACCATGTGAACACTGCGAACACAGTCCCGATGAGCTGGGTACAGGCCCAGACAGTAAGGGCAGGCAGCTAATTGCAGTTTTACCCTCTCCCTCAGCTTCCCTACAAAAAAGAAATAAAAGGATGTTGGGAAGCAAAGTCTGAGCTGAGAAAATGTTGACTGCAGAGAGTATACTGTTTTGGATTCTCTATGAACCCCAGATCAGCATATACTTGATGGGCTGATCTCTCCAATCTGTCTAGGACTTCTGCAATAACCCGAAATAACCAGAGTTATCCTAAACTAACCCAAGCCAGCAGCCTAAAACCAAATCTGCCTTAGTGCCCAGGCCCTGGATGCCAGCACTTAGAGAAAGGGCAGTCTGGGCCTCTGGCTTTCACTGTGTATGACAGAGCCCTGCCTCCCAGTAAGACGCACACAGTGAGGATTCTCACAACGTAGGAGAGCACAGGTCAGATTCCGGGCAAGCAAACAATCAAAGGCAAATGTCCACCATGTGGTTTCAGAGGCTCTAGCTCTCCCCTCCCAGGCACCACCCTTCACCCTCTGCCCACTCACTCTCAGCACCACTCCCTGTGTTCTCAGACTGAGAAATGTATCCACATGACACACTAGCAACCCACTTTCATCAAGCAGCAAGCACGGAAGGAGGAAGGCAGAACTCTTGGTTGGCCATAATTTCTCATCCACAGAATGAAGAGGAAGAACGGAGCATCTGAGCACACTACATGACAAATGTGGAAGCTGGAAAACCAGCGTGGCTGGCTGCACGGAGGGGGCGTGAGGACTGGCATCAAGTAGATTTGCCCTGTTGCCGATGGCATACTGCCAAGGGGTGTTGGGTTGGAGGGCATCCATCCTGCGCCCAGTCACTGAAGCCCTGAGTGTTCCAGACCCAAGCTAGGGGCAAGGCAGGTGACAGAGAAGACAAACAGTGTGATCTGCTCTCAGACACGTCCCTGGAGCCCTGCTGGGGAGGTACGGCACACACGCAATCACTCATGAGAAAGGCTGCATGGGCTCCATGAAGGCTGGACAACAGCCCACTGAATCATTACTGGTTCTCCAGCCCCTAAAATAAAATTTAATCTTCATTGATTTCTTACTAGGAGCCCAGCTCCATGCTGTTTTCTACATGTGTGATTTCATTTAGCCTAACTGTATGAGTCAAGTTCTCCAGAAAAACAGAACCAATAGGGGATATATAAAAAGAGATTTAGTATAAGGAATTGACTTATACAGTTATGGAGACTGGCAAGTCCAAAATCTGCAGAGCTGATGTTCCGGTTCAAGTCAGAAGGATGACAGCTGCCATAGAACCAGGAAGTTCTGATAAAGGCCACCAAATAGGAAGAATTCTCTCTTACTAGGGGGAGGGTCAGACTTTTGTTCCACACAGGACTTCAACTTACTGGATAAAGCCCACTCACCTTATTATTAATTTTGGATGAGATTAACATTAAATGTTACAAAAATACCCACAATAATGTATGACCCCATACCTGGGCACCCCATGACCCAGGAAAGTTGACACATAAAATTAACCTTCAAACTTACAAATCTCCTAGTGTTATTTAGAGATGAGTTTATTGAGACCCAGCATGAAGTGGAGACCCAGGATTTGGAACAAGAGACTCTGATTCCAGAACTTGAAGCCTTAACCATTATACTATACTACCTCTAGCTCCAGGCATACGGCAGATGCTCAATATGTATTTTGTTGAATAAATGAATGAAGTACTAAAGAACGATGTAAGCAAAGCCCTGTGGTTGAGGTGACTAAGGGAAGCTTTCATGAATTTTACTAGGTTGCTGTTTCTAGAGTGGACAGGGAGGTTGGGAGAAGGAGATGGGTGGAGACAGAGGCTAAAGTGGCCCCATGATCCCCACCTCTTGGTGCCCACGCCCTGATGTAATCCCTACCTTTTGAGTATCAGCAGGAATTGTGACTTGATGCTAAGCAATAAAGTATAACAAAGGTGACAGCTGTTGCTTCTGTGATTACATAATGTGAGCTTGTACAGTCCATCTTATTAGAAGAGCCTCTCTCTCACCAGCTTTGAAGAAGCAAGCATTCATGTTGAGGAGGCTCATGTGGCAAGGAACTCAAGGCAACTGCCCACAACCAGCTAGAAACTGAGGGCAGCCTCCAGCCAACAGCCAACAACAAACTGGGGGCCTTGGTCCGATCACTTGCAAGAGCCTGAATCTTACCAACATATGCGAAGTTGGGAAGCAGATCCTTCTCTAGCTGAAGCTTGGATTGAGACCACAGTCCTGGCTGACATCTTCATTGCAGCCTTTCAGAGGACCCAGCTAAGCCACACCTGAATTCTTGACCCACAGAAATTATGAGATAATAAGTGTGTATTGTTTAAAGGTGCTAAGTATATGGTAATATTGTTACTCAGTAATAGACAGCACAGCCTCATTGGCAGAGAAAAGAGCAGAAGCCAAGAGCTGGAGTTGGAAAGGTATAGAGAACATCAGTCCATGCTTGTTCCATGTGGCTGAAGTCGCAGGAGGTGGAGTTTGGAAAAGTGGGTTGGTGCCAGACAGTGGTGGCTTTTGAAGACAGAATGAGTTGTCTGGGCTCTGTCCTGCGGGAAAGGAGTTTCCGGTGATGGCTAATCCCGAGAGTGCTCCATGTGGGAAGTGGGGAGGTCCCTTTGAGCAGCCCTCAAATCACGCATTGGTGAATGTCTACCTGCAAGTCTGGTCCAGGTCTCTGGGGCTTCCAAATGAAGCTCTGGCCAAGATCCTGGGATAGGAAACCCCAAGTCACACTTTGTGACTTTTTGACTCAAGTCAGCTTGTGGCTGGGTGCAGGTCAGAACCTAGAGCCCCTGGAGAACAAGGACACCTCGGAGTTGTGTTGACTCCCTCAACCTCCCCCGTCCTCTGTGCACTCAGCTCAGGACTGGACCCACAGTCAGTGCCCAAAAGGACTCCTGGAACTGTCGGTGAAGCAAAGTGGCTCAACCTCAACCTGCAGTAACATCAGCTCACTCCACAGCCAGTGGAGAAACAGCCATGGCACTTTAAAAATCACTGTAGGGGATACAAGCGTATGGTAAATAACTCATGGGGTTTAAAACTCAAGAGTTTGTAGCTGGATTAAAAAAAAATGATCTTATCAACTGGAAAGGATATTTAGTGGAGCCCCTTAGTGGGGTGTCTTTCCCACTGTAATACATTAGTTGAATGATTTAAAATCCCTTAGCTTGGTGAGGGCCCCAAGAGGCAGAAGGTCAAGCGCATCTGCCTGGCATTGAGACATCGTGGGGGAGCTTCAGCTCCTGGGAGAAGGAAGCTGCTCAGAGGTGAAGTGGGGTCCAGAAAAGAAAGAGCTGCCACGTACCTCGTATTTGGCCAAATGACTATTTGGAGAATGGTCAGGAGTGTGGTTCACTGGTTCTGATGGTCCTGGACCATTGATCTAGAGGAAAGTTCTGGTGTGGAAGAGAGACCAGGCCAGGATAGAGAGAAAGGTTATGGGAGACAGTGCAGCAGCTCGGGAACCACAACCCCACAGACATTTAAAACAGGAAGTCCTTCAAGACCAGAAATCACCAGAGAGTCCAGCCAATGCTCGGAGGAACAAAACACCCAATGGCAAACCAAGGCCACATTCCAACCATTCCAGTCACTGCCCCAGGTTCCAGAAAGAAAACAACTTTAAAGGGCATCCCAGAGGGAAGAATTTCATTCAGCCTACAGATACCTCCAGACCACGTTGGCACCAGGCTGGGCATAGGCCATGTCATGGGGTAAGATAAGGCTCCTGTCCTCCTGGAGCTCCAAGGTCAGTGGGCAGACAGCAGGAAGACAGTGACAGCTCTAACAGGAATCTGTCCAGTGTGCTCAGAGCACAGAGGAGGGAGGAGAGAAGCTGCCCGAGCAGAAGCAATTAGAACAGGGCCAAGTGCCACCAAGCAGACAAGGGTGGGGAGGACAACCCAGGCCAGGCAGCTACACAAGCCAAGTGGACCAAGACAGAACGCCATGGAAAGTGCACAGTGGAGATGAGGCTGGAAGCATGGCTTCGGGCCAGACTGAATCCCAAATCATATTTCTGAACAAGTCAACTGAGGAAGATCTCTGGCTCCTTCCTGAGTTGTCATCTACTCTGAGAGAAGAGTTTGGAATAGAGGCACAAATGTCCAAGAAATAGCTCTTGACTTCCCCAGGTACACGTTCCTCTTGGGCTGCCTCCATTAAGTTCTGGCACTATCTTCTTCATTGGGTCTCCCCTTGAATGTTGATTTCCTGCTGAAAGAGAAGCATCGGAGGCCTTTGATGGGGAGTGGACCCTGTTGTCTTACCCTTGTCACTCAAGGATCTTCTACTTCCTAAGACAATGAGAGTTCCTAAAACCCTTATTCTGGCGTTCCCTGCCCTCCACATGCTGGCCCCAGCTTCCTGTCCAGGGCGGTCTCCACCCCACCACTTCCCTCCCTATGGTGATCTTCTGCTCCAGAGCCTCCAGATCACTACAGCTCCGTCCACGCCTCTCCAGCTCCTGCTCACAGTTCTTTTCCCTGCCCCAATTCCACACACCTAAACACCTAAATGTCCATCTGTGTTAGTCAGGGTTCTCCACAGCAACAGAACCAGTAGGATGTGTGTATGCATATATATCTATACAGAGAAAGAGAGAGAGAGAGAGATTTATTTTGAAGAACTGACTCATGTGATTTTGGGGACTGGCTAGTCCAAAACCTACAGGGAAGGACAGTAGGCTGAAGACCTAGGAAAGAGTTGGTGTTGCAGTTTGAGTCCAAAGGTACTCTAGAGGCAAAGTTCCTTTTTTGTCAGGGAATATCAGACATTTCCCTTAAGGCCCTCAACTGATTGAATGAGGCTCATCCACATTATGGAGGATTATCTTTACTCAAAGTCTGCTGATTTAATTTTGACCAAATAACTAGACACCATAACCTAGCCAACTGACACAGGAAATTAGCCATCATACTATCCTCCAGGGCTCAGCTCAAATTTAACCTCCTCCTCCAATTCATTCCCACTTTCAACTGAAAATACTTGTCCCCTCCTAAATTGCCATAGTCCTGCATCCAGCTCTTCTCTTGGGACATTTAGAATTTGCTTCCCTATAGTACAATGATTTATATCTTTGTATTTGTTTTCCTACAAGACTGTGGGCACTTGAGTCAATCAAATCCTATTGCACCACTTAATGAATAGCTATATGACCTTGGGGGGGTTACTTAAACTCACTAAGTCTTGGTTTCTGCAAAACATGGAGATGATATAATACTTACCTTAAAGAATCCTTGAGACTTTCATGAGACAATGGACGCAAATTACTTAGCACAGCACCTGGCACATACTGAGTAATCCATTCACTTATTCATTCGTTGAGCACATATTACATGCCAGAAGTGAATGTGACAGACCAAGCCACTGCCCTGATGGGCAGAATTATATAAAAGGTAAATAAATGAATTTTTAAAATCTAACATAAGATACTAACAAGTACTTTGAAAAAAATAAACTAGAGGCTGGGCGTGGTGGCTCATGCCTGTAACCCCAACAATTTGGGAGGCTGATCACTGGAAAGCGTGACTTTCCAAGTGCCCAAGCCAAGGCAGCATTTGTGGGCACCCACAGAAGGACCCCTTAGAGCAGGAGCTCTGTTTCACTCTTCCTAAACCGGATGTTTCTGTTTACTAAACAGTCTTCAGCTGCTCATTGTGCACAGAACAAAGTAGTCGGTGAAGGTCTTTTCAGGACACAGGTGGCCATGCAAATGGGGTAATGGAGCAGAGACAAAGGTGTGGGAGGGTTGAGGAATGTTGAAGAACCCCAGAGCTGGCAGCACTGGGGACCTAAATGGGCAGTGAAACTTCCTCTCTACTAAAAACACAAAAATTAGCCAGGCGTGGTGGATGCCTATGGTCCCAGTTACTCAGGAGGCTGAAGTGGGAGAATCGCTTTAACCCGGGAGGCAGAGGTTGCAGTGAGCCCAGATCATGCCACTGCACTCCAGCCTGGGCAACAGAGCAAAACTCCATCTCAAAAGAAAAGAAAAGAAAAGAAAAGAAAAGAAAAGAAAAGAAAAGAAACTAGGATAAAGGATAGAGGTTTGAGGAGTAAGGAGGAGAGATCTAGTTTAGCAAAGACCTGAATTAAGAGAAGGAGCCAGCCATGCAAGACCTGGCGGAAGAACATTTCTGGCAGGACCAGCAGGAATCAGTCTGAGTTAATTTAACTTGTAACCCAGGGGCCAGGTCCTTCCTTTCCTCTGCCCCTCAGACTGTGTCTTCTGAGCTAGGGGAAACTGAGGAGATGAACCTTATCTTCAATCTACTCAGGACTTTGCCTTCAGATAGATGATCCTCGGCACCCAGGAACCCATGGTAATGGAGGCCACTGGCCATCACTGATCAGGGAGACTTCCCTTATCTGTTCCAAATGCTGCCTCGCCTGCTTCACTGCCTCATCTTCTCTAGTCTCCACTGAAGGTTTAAGTATTTCTGTACTCAGGGGTCATTGTCACTGTCATGTGCCACACAGAGTCAAAGAAGGGAGTGAGAGTTCTCAGGAGAGGGTACCCCAGGCCTTTGGAAACTAGCGATCCAACTTTCCCACACGTATCTCCCTTCTTCCCTAGCTCTCTGCTTTCTTTCTCCCTTCCCGCAGCCCTCTCCCTCCAGTGTTTCTCAACCAGGCACGGTATTGTCCTTCCAGCCCATCCTAGGAGTGCTTGGAAGAGGAATAAGCCATTTCTAATGGTCACAATGACTGGGAGACTCTACTGGCCTTTAGTGGACTGAGATCAGGAACACAATCCACCCTAGAATGTACAAGGTGGTACCACATAATAAAGAATTGTCCTGCCCAAAAGGTGAATGCAGACATGAACCTCTCAACATCCCTTCAAATGTTACCAAATCCCCTTCTTCCCTACCTGGATTCTGTCCTTTATCTCTTCAGGAAAAAATCAAGTCTCAGTCTCCCAAGTCCCACAGTGTGTCTTGTCCATTGGACAGCCTCACATGTGCAGTGTCAGTGCCTTCCATCCCCAAGTGGCTCTAACTGCTCCACCAAGAGAGGAAGAGCAACTCTGAGTACCTGCGGCTCCCTCAAAGGGAGGGGTCAGCTAATCCTGTGTCTGGGCCAGTGGAGAAAAATGGTGGAAAGGGCTTCCAAGCTGGGCTGTGTGTGGTTGATTCTGCCCTGAAGTAGCTAGAATCAAACACTTCTCACCACTGAGGAGATACATGTCCTTCCAAGTGCTACCCTTCTAGATGAGAAACATATATCACCCCTACTAACGCTTCCTCATTCCAGCTCTGACTTCCATTACAAACTTCCCGTATGAACTTGACACAGAGGTCCAAATTCATCTCCGTCAAAGGTAATAGCCATGGTGGTGGAAGAGGCAGATTCTCAGTTTGCCTTGCCATTTATCATCATCATCATCATCACCACCACCACCATTAATTATTACTATTATTAACCATATGAGGCCTTGCACAGAGGCAGACACTGGTGGGAGTTCTGTCACTGGAGGGTCCTAACTGCATGGGTGATTGTGTGGAAAAGATGGGTCAAGGCTGTGGTCCTTTGAACAAATGTCCTGGAGCCAAACTGACTTCCTGATTTGCTTAATGCGCTGCCTAATGCTTGACTAAAAGTGCTCAAGAAAAATCCTGTCAAGGAGAGGAAGGGTGCCAGGGGCACTGGAAGGGCTCATTTTTTATTCTTTAACTTAGGGGAATTGGCAGGAAAGGGGGTGATGACTACTCCCTGCAGAAAGCAAAGATCCAGATGGCTCCTGAGAGCCAGCTGGGAAAAGTTGCTCCTTGGCAGCCTCATTCTCCAGCATGACTTTCCAAATGCCCAAGCCAAGGCAGCATTTGTGGGGTGCCCACAGCAGGACCCGTTAGAGCAGGAGCTCTGTTTCACTCTTCCTAAACCGGATGTTTCTATTTACTGGACAATCTTCAGCTGCTCATTGTGCACAGAACAAAGTAGTCAGTGAGGGTCTTTTCGGGACACAGGTGGCCATGCAAATGGGGTAACGGAGCAGAGACAAAGGTGTGGGAGTGTTGAGGAATGTTGAAGAACCCCAGAGCTGGCAGCACCAGGGACCTGAATAGACGTGGAAAGGAGTGATTGCTAGCACCCTGAAAGTGAGCTGTGGACAGAGCCATTGACAGAGGCTGTGGCCAAACCACAGTCCAGCAGGATAAGAATCAGGGAAACAAATGCCTCGGTCTCAATATCTTCTTGCTGGCCAAAGGCAAAGAGCATGGGAACCCACTGATGCAACCTGTACAGGACAGCCTCCTGGCTACAGAGCAGGAAGCATGGGTTCTTTTACAAACCACTCCAAAATGTAGTGCCTTAAGACAATAACCATTGATTTAGCCCTTGGTTTTTCAGTCTAGCAATTCAGCAATTAAAGCTGGGCTCAACTGGACAGTTCTTCTCGTCTGCTGTAGGCTGATCTTGGCTATCCCAGCTGGGCTCACTCATGTGTCTGCAGTTGATTGGCGAGTTATCTAGGACCAGTCACTTTAGAATGGCTTTATTGGAGATGGTTAGAAAGATAGGGGCCTCTCTTGACATGGATCTCTCACTCTCCAGAGTGCTAGTCTGGACTTGTTTACAAAGCAGCCAAACAGTTTCAAGAATAGCAAGCAGGCAAGCCCCAAAGTACAACCACTTTTCATACTTCTGCCTACATCACACTTGCTTCTGTCCACTTGGATGAAATAAGTCACATGGTCATCACCAAATCAAGGGTTAGAAACACAGATTCTGGCTGGACATGGTGGCTCATGCTTGTAATCCCAGCACTTTGGGAGGCTGAGATGGGGCAATCACCTGAGGTCAGGAGTTCAAGACCAGCCTGGCCAACATGGTGAAACCCCATCTCTACTACAAATACAAAAAGTAGCTGGGCATGGTGGCAGATGCCTGTGATCCCAGCTATTCAGGAGGCTAAGGCAGGAGAATCACTTGAACCCAGGAGGCAGAGGTTGTAGTGAGCTGAGATCACACCACTGCACTCCAGCCTGGGCAATAGAGCATGACTCCATCTCAAATAAAAAAAAAAAAAGGAAAGAAAAAAAAAAGAAAAAGAAAAATAGATTCTATCACTTGAGAGGAGGGGAATAATATGCGGCTAGTGGCTAGTTTTCAACCTATAGTCTGTGCTGCAGCCACAGTTGCTCACATTCCTCCCACATGCAAAATATGTTCCACCATATCCCAGGACCTCTAAACCTGGATCCTTTGAATCTGGGATTATACCTATGGCAGTTGGTTTTTGCTGCATAATAAACGACCCCAACATTTAGAATGTTAAAACAACAACCATTTTTTAGCTCACAATTCTGCAGCTTGGCAATTTGGGCTGAGCTCAGCTGGGCAGTTCCTCTGCTCTGGGCCAGGCCCCACTGACCTCTGCTAGCACTCACTCAGGCATCTATGGTCGGCTGAGTGCCAGACGGGGAGCTTCAGTGCTTCTCCATCCACATAGCCTCTTAGCCTTCAGCATGCTCATTCATGTGGCAGCAGGATTCCAGGAGCAGCAAGAGAGGACAAACACCAGTGCGCAATCATTTTTCAAGTCTCTGCTTATGCAGAGACAACTGCTGACATCCCATTGACCAAGCAAGTTACATGTCAGAGCTCAGAATCAGAGTGGGAGAGCAGTCAAAGTTACAGCACAAGGGGGCATGGGTCCAGGAGGGGAATAACTAAGGATGGGTTTGCAAACAGTCTACCACTGTGGAGTGGAGACTAGATCTAGTGAGACAGACAATAGGCATCTCCCAAATCTAAAGTCCATAAAATGACACTCAAGTCTGTTCATAATGGGAACCACCTGTCTCCCCAGCGTCAACTCTCTCTAACCCCAACCACACCCTGTGTACTTTGCATCTGCCAAACTGACCTCTTCACAGTCTCATGTATCTGCCTGCCTTTTTCATCTTCCCGCTCACTGTTCTCTAGATTATTCCACATCTTTGCCTGACCAAATCCTGTATATCCTACTTGATCCAATTCAAAGCCACCTTCTCCCAGACATCTTTTCTAACATCCCATTCCCATCCCCTTCCCTCTCTCCCAACACCACTGAGCTGGACAGGACTCTGAATTCCCACCTGCAATTTCTAGAGCCCCCTCTGTGCCTCTTTTCAGGCACCTAGCATTGTGCACTTATCTGCAGGTGGATGTTCTCTCCTTCCTTGGACTGTGAGCCCCCATAGGGCTTGTGTGACTCATCCTTTATCCCTCCTCTGCCCTACTGCCCAGCACACACTAAATGTCCTATTGACCTAAGGAGGTCAGTACTGGCAAGCCAAAGACTGCAGAGCAGACGATGCGACAGAGCCAAGGAACGCCCTTCAGAGACGACCCAGCCAGGAACTCCAAGAAGTGACTAACAGGAAGTGTCAGAGAAGAGCATGAAAGAGCAGGATTTGGGAGACGAGAAAGAGCAGGGCTTTGGGCTTGCCACAAGGTAACCTGGCCCCTGAAGTCAGAGTCACGGGAAGACTGACCTCCACTCCATCTGAGGAAGAACTTCCCAGGAGAAATGCCCAGATTCAGAATGGGCTGGCAAGAAAAAGGGTGAGCCACCCCTCTACTGGCAGTGCATAAGCATTCCGGTTAACTTCTGAGAGTGTTTTTGTGGGGGCCTTATTCTATTTGCATTTGAGGTGTGCACATTAATAATTCTTTCATTAGACTCACGTTGCACCTTGGCACGCAGAGTGTGCACTCATGGGCTCACAGATGAAGGCATTTAATGAGCCGGCAGCTCTCCCCGCAAGGCAAGCCTGCACGGAGCTTGGCAGCAGGCTCATTCCCTCGGAGTCGGCTGGGCACAGCACATCATGTATCGCGGGCAAACTGGCTTTGTGTTTTCATTGGGGGTGGTAAGTGTGGGAGGGGGAAGTAGATGTATGGGGTAAGTGTTACTCTGAAAGAATTCTAAAATGTGAGAGAATGCCATTCCAGTGAATTTCCTACCACACACACCTGAACACCCTTGAGGGATGGGACATCCCTGCTCCTGTCAGAAACCAGGCTAAGCCCAGCGGTGCCTCTCACCGAGGGTAGGTGGAGGATGTAACTAGACAGCCCTTCCCTAACACAGATACTCTTTGACCAGCCCAACTTCCTTGTGTTCTAAGTGGTGGAACAGTGCCCCAGAGAGGGGATGTGGCCTCCCTAAATGCTAAGATGAGCCAGGACTCCTGCTCCTGGACCCAAGTGCCAGGACTAAAAGACTAGAGGGGGAACTTACACAGGGGAAAGGTGGCCTTAGGGCAGGCAGTGAGCCAAGAACCCCTTCCCAGGAGCTGGACCCAGAGTGATTCTTCAGTCCCTCCCAATAATGTCCCTGGGAATAAAACTCCCCATCTCCCGACGCCCTTCTCCATATATCCAAACCCTGCACATCCCACAAGGCTCACCTCAGATGCCAGCTCCTCCTTTCATCTTCCCATCAAACACCCCGACTCTAACCAGACGTGAGCTCTCTGGCCTCTTGGGGACTCTGCACTTCTTCATGGCTCAGGTCAGACTGCATCTGGAATTACAGTTAGATGTGCGTATACCTTCTTGATGACCCCTGACCATGAATTCCTTGGGCTTATCTTGCTCCTTCTCCTGACTCCCTCGCTCAATGCCCAGCCTAGGACCTGACTCAAATGCATTCAACAAACACAGGCTGGATTGCTGACATCCCTTTGCTTTTTGCCCACTAGCATTACAAGACCACATTGCTTACTGTTAGCCAGCACCAGGGCCTTCCCCACAAAGCAGACATACTTCCCTGTCTCCTTTCCACTTCTTTTGGATGAACAAGAACAGCCTCTTGCGCCTCCTTATTGCAAACTTCCTGGACACCCCCCACTGTCTCAGATAATCACCAGGGCTGAGGGGCATTCTCCAAAGCCCAGGAGGCCCTCAGTAGATAGGGTGTTGTTTGATGGACAGCTTTCCCTCCTGCGAAGCCCTGGTGAACAGCTCTAATGTCACCAGCAACTGCCATCTGACTCCCTAACACTGGCTGGAAGTCTTTTCCTATTTGCCCCCAGGAATGCCAAACTCAGTGAGCTGAGCTCTTCTTACAGCTGTCTGACTCCTTTGCATCAAACATTCCTCCTGAGATTGTAAGAACTAGAATGACTAGTTCCAGCCACTCACCTTCTTCTGCCTATGAGGAAGAATCCAATTAATGCCAAAATAGCCTATACTGTTCCAAAAGTCTGGCCTTTTCCAAAAACCCTAGCTCTTTCCACAAAGAAGCTCAAGAAGCTCCAGAAGAAATTCAGTGTTCTCCTCAAAAGCAGACACCAACTTGGTGGACCATAGGTGCATCCTGCAGAATCCCTAACAAGTAAGTGATTCAGAATGGAGGGGCTGAAAGAGAAGCAAATAGCCCCATGAGCCTGAGCCAGAGAAGCGGATGCTTGCAGACCTTGGAGAAAGTTTTCACCACCCTCATCAGCCCCATGGTTTCCCATTGTCTACAAAAAAGTTAGATTATTTTGTTCAGGATTCAGATACTTCACATCATGACTCCTATCATTCTAGTCTCATCTCCTTCTAAACTTCCAAGCCACTAGCCCCCTTGGAGCATTCATGCCTTTCAAATACACCCAACCCATTCCATTTACATGTTTTGTTCCAGCTACTGAAACATCTTTTATCTTAGGTTGGATTCTCAGACCCTTAGACAAGGATTCAAGTGCAAGTATATTTGGGACAGAAAAAACCAGCAGGATAGTGGGGAACAAAAAGAAGTCAATAAAGGGTACTTTTTTCAGCAGGTTCCCATTGTAGCAACTAACAGTTGATCCTACCTGGGAGACAGTGTAGGGCTCACTTCAGAATTGTCCTCAGCCAAGAGTAGAGAGAGGAAGTTGTGGGTATTTGTCCACCACTCCCATCAGTCACAGGTGTGGGTTTCTGCTGGGCGGGAGGGACATGGACTCTTCGGCATGCAAGTTCAGCTTGCACCAGTGAAAAGCCAAGGGGACACGGGCAGTGGGCCAAGGGGTCTGCTCCCCCTTTACGTCCCTCCTCCTTTCCCCACCACCACTTTTTAGTTTACCCAAATGACCCACTCATCAGGGTTCAATGCCATCTCCTCCCAAAAGCTTTTCTAACCTTTCATCAGAACCAATGACTCTTTCCTTTGGTTTCCACAAACAATCAGAGTACAACTGTGAGAAAAATCCTTTAGGTTTTACCCTTCACTCTGCTTAAGAGTGAAAGTCTTAATTGACAACTGGGCAGAATGGTGTTGGCGCGGCCAGGCGCGGTGGCTCATGCCTGTAATCCCAGCACTTTGGGAGGCCGAGGCAGGCAGATCACGAGGTCAGGAGGTCACAAGGTCAGGAGATCGAGACCATCCTGGCCAACATGATGAAACCCTGTCTCTACTAATAATACAAAAAATTAGCTGGGCATGGTAGCACGCGCCTGTAGTCCCAGCTACTCGGGAGGCTGAGGCAGGAGAATGGTGTGAACCCGGGAGGCAGAGGTTGCAGTGAGCCAAGATTGCACCACTTCACTCCAGCCTGGGCAACAGAGTAAGACTCTGTCTCAAAAAAAAAAAAAAAGAAAGAAAGAATGGTGTTGGCTCTCGTTCTCATTCCTTGATTTATTTCCTTTCTGCTTTGCATGAGGTGGTGTCTGTGACCCATGTACTCATAGCAAGTCTTTGAACCCATCAACATTAGAAATTAGAAAATACCTCTCAAAAAGCAGCATTGATTCTGTTGCCTAAATATATTCTTATTGCAAAAATAAAAATGTAAATGATGTCATTTGAAGCAGTGCATGGTTATTGCTCTTATAATACAATAGTAAGTCTTATTTGCATAAAGAGATATCTACAGTCCTATAAAAGTAAGAATGAATACCTAAATCCAAACTGCTCCTTCAAGTTACCTGGAACTGTGATATTTGCATACACCGAACCATCTACTCTTGTTCTGAAGAGGAGAGAATGAAAACTAAAGGAAACAAAGAATCAAAGAAGCCTTGAACCCACGGTGAGTGGAACCCTGAAGTGATCGGAGGACAGACTGGCATGTGGCAACCTTATTCTGTTCCTTCAAAGCAGCTACTGAATGTTGCGGTGAGCCCGGGAAGAGGACTGTCCTGCCTGCAGTCCTACAGAGGGAAGAGCTGTGCTTAATAAGTTAAAAAGCTGGGGCTTCTACCAAGCCACAGAAGAAGCCGGAGACAGTGTGTGCACATCTGCAAGCAAACAGACGCGTGTCTAACCCGGGGCGGCCGCGCTTCCCCTGCTTAGAAATCCATCATCTACAAGGGGTGGGGCCTGAGGAGCGCAACTCTCACTTGTTACTTTAGAAATCAATCATCTACAAGGGGTGGGGCCTGAGGAGAGCGGGCTTCCCCTGCTTAGAAATCAATCATCCAGAAGGGGTGGGGCCTGAGGAGCTTGGCTCTCACTTGTTACTTTAGAAATCAATCATCTACAAGGGGTGGGACCTGAGGAGGGCGGGCTTCCCCTACTTAGAAATCAATCACCCACAGGGGGTGGGGCCTGAGGAGCGCGGCTCTCACATGTTACTTGAGTTTTACCCAGCAGGTGGGAAGTCCAGAAGGCTGACTCGGTCTCTAAAATGCAGCAGAACCTGTGGCGACCACAGCCACCCAACAGCAAAAGAGGCAGCAGAGGCTGGGTGAGCACAGGACTGAGAATTCATGGAGAAAGTTCTTGAATTTAAGGGAGAGGTGAGACCATTTAATTGGCCAAAAAGGCCCAACTCTAAGAGCCGACCTGCAAGAAGCCAGCCCGGCAGCTTCTCCCATCACCACTCCCAGCTGCAGGTGGGCTGCCTGCTGTCCTTACCTCCCAGACAAGGGGGATCATGTCCTCCTTGGGGTCACCGTGGACCAGTGCGCACTTCTGTGGCCTGTTTTGCTCGCTGCACTTACCTACTGTGACACCACTGTTGCCGACACAGCCACCTCCGTGCGGGGGGTCCCTGGGGCAGACGCCCTGCTATCCTCATCTTAGGATACCCAGTTCCCAACACAGTGCCTGCTGCAAATTATCAGTAATAACAGTAAGTCTTTGTCACGTAATGAGTTACCTTTCAGTCTCTCTGCAGTCTCTTTCCTCCCAATGCCCCTTGGCTGCTCCCGAAGCCCTGACTCCTGACCTCCTGCCCCTTCTGTCTCCAGGGCCATTAACTCCCCTGCTGGTCCCTATCCATGGAGCCCATTGACAGATGAGTTTGATTCTGGACCTAAGAAGGACAGTTAACAGACACAGATATCTTTTAAGGTGAGGAGTGGGTATCGGATACCTGAAAGAGAAAAAGCCTACCAAAACCAACCTTATCTTCCTACCAATCTACCCACTAAGAGAGAGAAACCAGAATATTTTTGCCGGAGAATTATAATAGAGACTCACATCTACCCTCCTTCCTTCACTCAAAAGCCCTGCCCATCCCTCAGCACACATCTCAAAGAGGAACTGCCCCATGAAGCATTCCTGATCCCCAGCCAGGTGTGATGGTCTGTCCTGCGAGCCCCCCACAAGGTACCTTTTCTATGGCACTCACAATTTACTGCCTTCTACTGGATTATCAGTGACCAGACTACAGGTCCTGGTGGGCAGGGGCTGGGTCTGATTCACTGTGGTCCCACCTCACCCCAGCTCTACTCCCACCCCAGGCCCTGCCCAAGACGGGAGGTAAGCTGACTACATTGGTTTGAATAGGGTAAAAGGAAGGACAGCCAAGAGCATAATGCGGCTCAGATGAATTTCAGTTTAACTTTCCCAGAAGTTAAACTTCCCACTCATCAAGGTTCAATGCCTTCTCCTCCCAAAAGCTTTTCTAACCTTTCGTCAGAACCCATGACTCTTTCCTTTGGTTTCCGCAATCAGAGTACAACTGTTGGAAAAATCCTTTAGGTTTTGCCCTTCACCCTCTTAAGAGTGAAAGTCTTCATTGACAACTGGGCAGAATGGTGTTGGCTCTGAGCCAGCCTCTGAGTTCTGAGGCTGAGGGAGGTGCTATCCACCTGGCCCAGGACCTCCCGTCCTGGGCTCTTGGCAAGGCAGCTGACTCTCCCTGTCCTCTCCTAGCCCTACCACAACATTCCTGGGCATATCATCCCACTCACAAGGAGGATTCTTCTAGTGTTTATGAAGGCAGGGTTGGGCAAGACCCGAGAAGTGAGGAGCTAACAGACGGCTCTCCCCCAAGGCTGGTGTCCCCTCCTGCAGCATGGCTGCCAACTAGCCCCCCAGCCTCGGCTGCAACAACCCCACCCATGGGGAGCTAACAGCACTGCTCTTAGACAGCGGCGTCCGTGGGGCACTTTGCTTAGACCCACATCCTCCCTCCCAGCCCAGTTCCACCTCTTTGGGCTGCACAGAATGAATCTGCTTCCTTCCCCAGGTAGCCCCCTTCGGATATCTGGGACAGCTCTCGTGTCCTGTTGTGTCTTTCTCCAGTGTACACATTCTAGGCTCTCACAGTGTTTTTCACTTTGTCCCAGCAAGGCTATTGTTTTTAAGTGCTCTTGAAAGAACCTTCTCTGCAAGGTCAAATAGAAATGAGTAGTCAAGTTAGCACTGACCCGACCCCTCGTTGCATCTCAGCAAGAGCAAATACTTTCACATCTCTCCAGTGGTGCAAAACTAACTGGCAAGAGTCACATTCACACACACACTTGCTCAAATTATGCCAATAAAAGGAAGTTGCGAAAGTGTGAAGACAGCGTAAGGTTTCTGGTTTCGTAGAAAAACAGAGGGGTTAGCCCCCAATTCAAATTTTTTTTCTTTGATCTATGTTTAAAGAAAGCCCTGAGAGGACGGAGAGAGGTTGATTAACCGGTCAAATATACAATTAGATCGAAGAAATAAGACCTAGTGTTGGATAGATCAGCAGGATGACTATAGTTTACAATAATCTATTGTACATTCCAAAACAGTTAGATAGGAATAATTTGAATGATTATAGCATAAAGAAAAGGCAAATATTTAAGGTGGTGGATATCTGAATCACCCGGATTTGATGTTTACACACTATGTCAACATACCAAATTATCAAAGGTATCCCAAAAATATGTATACCTATTATGCATCAATTTTATTTTTTTTATTTCAATAGCTTTAGGGGTACAAGTGGTTTTTGGTTCCATGGATGAATTGTATAATGGTGAAGGCTGAGATTTTAGTGCACCCATCACCTGAGTAGTGTACACTGTACCCAATATGTAGGGTTTTTTTGTTTTGTTTTGTGGTTTGTCTTTGTTGTTGTTGTTGTTTTGTTTGTTTGTTTGTTTGAGATGGAGTTTCGCTCTTGTTGCCCAAGCTGGAGTGCAATGGCACAATCTCGGCTCACTGCAACCTCCACCTTCCAGGTTCAAGCGATTCTCCTGCCTCAGCCTCCTGAGTAGCTGGGATTACAGGCGCCTGCCACCATGCCCAACTAATTTTTTGTATTTTTAGTAGAGATGGGATTTCACTATGTTGGCCAGGCTGGTCTCGAACTCCTGACCTCAGGTGATCCAACCACCTCAGCCTCCCAAAATGCTGGGATTACAGGCTTGAGCCACTGCGCCTGGCCCCAATATGTAGTTTTTTATCCCTCACCTCCCTCCCTCCCTGCATCTGAGTCTCCAAAATTCATTATACCACTCTGTGTGTCTGTGTGTACCCATAGCTTAGCTTAGCTCTCACTTATAAGTGAGAACACATGCTATTTGGTTTTCCATTCCTGAGTTACTTCACTTAGGATAGTGACCTCCAGGTCCATCCCAGTTGCTGCAAAAGATGTTATTTCATTGTTTTTATGACTGAGTAGTATTCCATGGTGTATATGTGATATATTATGCATCAATTTAAAAAAAAAAATAAAGAAACCTAAGCGTGTAGTGTAAGAACTCTGAGAGCCAATCGCTCAATTGAAACTTTTCTTTGAGACCTTGGAGCAGGATTTGCAGGACCAAAGTGTGGGCCAATGAGGTGACAGACTGTCTCAAGAGAAAGAAGGGGAAATTGATGGTAGGAAAATTCATGATGAATTCCTGAAGAGGCTTTGTTTCAGTGAAGCATTTCTTAATTTTATTTTCCAGAATCTTCCCTTCAGAGAATACTAGAAAGTGTTCAGTATGTTAAGCCCTTAGAAATAAATTCTGGCCGGGCGCGGTGGCTCACGCCTGTAATCCCAGCACTTGGGGAGGCTGAGGTGGGTGGATCACAAGGTCAGGAGATCAAGACCATCCTGGCCAACACGGTGAAACCCCATCTCTACTGGGCGCCTGTAGTCCCAGCTACTCGGGAGGCTGAGGCAGGAGAATGGCGTGAACCCGGGAGGGAACCCGGGAGGCGGAGCTTGCAACGAGCCGAGATCGAGCTTGCAATGAGCCAAGATCGCGCCACTGCACTCCAGCCTGGGATACAGAGCGAGACTCCGTCTCCAAAAAAAATAAAAATAAAATTTAAAAGAAAAAAAAAATTCTACAGAAATTCACTAGAATCTCTCCTTCCTTCCTTTCTTCCAACTTTTCCTCCTTTCTTCTTTCCTCCGTTCCTCTTTCCTTCCTTTTCCCTCGCCTTATTCCTAAATGGATTTGAAATAACAAACGCCTCCGTGTTCTTGCGGTCCTGCACTTTAATAACACGGAATTGCACACTGCTTCATATGAGTGGGCCAGTGTCTGGAGTCCAAAATCTTTTCTGTTCTAAGAAATCTAGGCCAAAGCTGAACCTTCAGTAATGAGATCTAACCTATAATCAAATTAAATAGCACAGCATTAGATCAATTTCAGCCCCATACATCCACTGCTATTGGCTTCTACTAAATGTTTTAAATTGGTACAAAAGCCTTACTGAAAGGGAATCTTATATAGACCTATCATATAGAGGATGTTTCCTTAATCATCTTTTTAATGAAAAAAAAACTAAGCAAAAAGAAAACAAAATTAAGATCTAAGAGGCTTCATGATATCATCCCAAACCCAGCCAGTGATATTTTTGAAAGGGCAACAAAGAACTGGCGATAACATCTTTATTTTGGTTTGCTTCTAAGCCTAGAGGCACGGAGAAGATGAGAACATACACTTAGATCATGCCAACTTAGAAGACTTTCTAGTTTTGAAAATAGCATTTCTTCCTCTCCTTCCCAAACAGAGTAGCACTGGAACGCTCCCCGTCTTCATCCTACACTCTTTGACATCACCTCAAAGAGGAAGTCAATTTTACTACATGATTAAGACTCAAGCGAAGCATAATTCATTCAAGCAACTCACTACATATGTCAAAAATATAAATCCAGGGCTGGGCATGGTGGCTCATGCCTGTAATCCCAGCACTTTGGGAGGCCGAGGCTGGTGGCTCACTAGAGGTCAGGAGTTCGAGACCAGCCTAGCCAACATGGTGAAACCCCGACTCTACTAAAAATACAAAAATTAGCCAGGCGTGGTGGCACACACCTGTAATCCCAGCTACTCAGAAGGCTGAGGCAGGAGAATCGCCTGAACCCAGGAGGTGGAGATTGCAGTGAGCCAAGATGGCACCATTGCACTCCAGCCTGGGCAACAGGGCGAGACTCTGTCTCAAAAAATAAAATAATAAAATAAAATAAATAAAATAAAATAAAATAAATCCACGCCTTTCAGGAAAAGATGAAAAATCAGAGGGTCAAGGAAGACTGCATGGGCAACACATTAACTCTCTCCCATGTTCTTTCCTGAGAAGCCAAGATGCCCTGGCTTATGGTCCAACTCCTACCCCCACAGCCCAGAGGAGTCTCCCCTCCTCTAAAGTGGGTCTTAGAAACAGGTCCTTCCTGGCCGGGCTTGGTGGGTCACGCCTGTAATCCCAGCACTTTGGGAGGCTGAAGCAGTCAGATCACCTGAGGTCAAGAGTTCTAGACTAGCCTGCCTAACCCCATCTCTACTAAAAAATACAAAAAAAATTCACCGGGTGTGGTGGCACCTACCTGTAATCCCAGCTACTTGGGAGACTGAGGCAGCAGAATCACATGAACCCAGGAAGCAGAGGTTGCAGTGAGCCGAGATCGCACCACTGCACTCCAGCCTGGGCGGCAGAGTGAGATGCCATCTCAAATAAATAAATAAATAAAATATTTATCATGAATGATATCCCAAGGGGCCTGTGAAGACGCTGATGGTGTGTGGTCTGGCTTCCTTCTTTTTTTTTTTTTTTTGAGATGGAGTCTCGCTTTGTCACCCTAGCTGCAGTGCAGTGGCTCGATCTCGGCTCCCCGCAACCTCCACCTCCCAGGTTCAAGTGATGTTCGTGCCTCAGCCTCCCGAGTAGCTGGGATTACAGGTGCACACCACCACTCCAGGCTAATTTTTGTATTTTTAGTAGAGACAAGGGTTCACTATGTTGGCCCGGCTGGTCTCGAACTCCTGACCTCAGGTGATCCACCCGCCTTGGCCTCCCAAAGTGCTGGGATTACAGGCGTGAGCCACTGCACCTGGCCGGTCCTGTTTTCATATGCATTCAAATTCATTGATTTGCCACAAGAATGCTATCAGGTAGGTGCTGTGTTCAACCCCACTTTAAGGGTAAGAAATAGGGGGCACAGACAGAAGTAGAAGGAAGGATTCCAGCTCAAGCCATCTGGCTTTGGAGCTCAGGCTCCTAACTGCTGTACCTAGATGGCCTCTCCATAAGAGGCTACCTTGGAGAAAAGAGAGTGAAGCAGCCATTAGAATGCTCTTTGCAAGTATCTGAGAACCACATTCAAATACCAGCACCTCAGTTTCCTTCCTTAGAGGGAGGGCCCCTGAAAACATGCGTCTGACCACTTTGCCAGGCAGGATAGTGCACAACAGTGCTGCTTGAACAGCAGTCAGAGTGTCACAGCTCGGAGTGGTGCAAAAGCCGGGGGACAAAGAACTGTGGAGCCTTGCACCAAAGCCACACTGGGAACATCACAACCAGAGCCGTCCCCATCCCCCCAGATCTCCTGAAAAGTGAAGGGAGCTGGTATAAATAACAGTGTCCATTCCCATCCATTACCAGGCCCTGCTTGCAGCCTCTGGGATCTCTTGATTCACATTTTCCAAACGCTGGGATTCTTAGGGCCTTAGTTAAGGAAGGCAATGCCAGTCCAGGGGTCTATATCATCCTTGTGGGCAA